>NC_000002.12:27062620-27215370 GCF_000001405.40 Homo sapiens
AGTAAATACAACATGAGAGCGCACAAACACTGTAAACATCCTGAGGGTTTGGGGAACTACTGTGGTGGATAAACACAAGAGTAATTAGCCAAAGAATGTTCAGTTAAGAAATAATTTGAAAAATAGGTAAGACATAGTTTGACAGAAACATTCCCAAAGTGAGAAATGACAGCCAGGAGCAGGAACAGAGCTGGTGGGTGGAGAGGACAAAAAGCTTGTGTACCTAGGTGGGTATGCAAAAGGCCAAGCCCGTCACCAAGGATATTAGGTGAAGAGAGCAGTAGCTGAAATGTCTTGAGAACAATGATTATGAGCTTAACTGAGACAATGGCAACAACTGTGTGTTTCTACAAATGGGAATAAACGTAAGACTGTGTAAGACACTGTCTGTGAACTGTACATATTGGACAGGAAACGGGGTGAGATGACCAGAGCCAATACCAGCATCTGGAAAAGAGAGATAAGTATTAGAAAAGGGGGCAGGATTCAGTGATGGTAGAAGACAGAGGAACTAAGAGGGCTTTAAGGCTACTTTTTCCACTGCAAACAAAAGCTTCAGGAAGTGTCTCCTAACACATCTACTTATGCCCTTAGCATCTAGTCCTCTGCCTGCCACTTAGTAAGTGAACAGCAAGTATTTGTTGAATGAATAAAAAGCAAGAAGTTGGGAACCAAATGAATGCTTGTCTCGGCCGGGCGTGGTGGCTCACGCCTGTAATCCCAGCACTTTGGGAGGCCGAGGCGGGCAGATCACGAGGTCTCGAGGAGATCGAGACCGTCCTGGCTAACATGGTGAAACCCCATCTCTACTAAAAATACAAAAAATTAGCCAGGTGTGGTGGTGGGTGCCTGTAGTCCCAGCTACTCGGAAGGCTGAGGCAGGAGAATGGCGTGAACCCAGGAGGCGGAGCTGGCAGTGAGCCCAGATCGCGCTACTGCACTCCAACCTGGGCGACAGAGCGAGACTCCGTCTCAAAAAAAAAAAAAAAGAATGCTTGTCCCACCTTTCTACCCCTCAGAGGGCATAAATCAGGTCTGTGATTGTCCCAGGGATTCACTAAGATCTGGAGTGCTAGGGACGGTTCCAAAGACGTTCAGGGAGGATGACACACAGGACCTTGGCACAAGTCAAGTAACTGCTGCTGTAAACAGTGAGACCTTAGAACACCCATTCTGACTCATTCAAGGGGAGATCAGTCTCCCCTCAGACCTCTTAGACCTTTGCCCAGTACTATCCTACCACCCCCAAAATGGAACATCTGGCTGGTTGCCATAAGATACCATTTCATAACCTCTGGAAGCAGAGCTGATCACATCACTCTTGCACTCTTGCTTGTTCTTTCTCACTTGCTTTTACCCT
This sequence comes from Homo sapiens, assembly GCF_000001405.40. NCBI lineage: Eukaryota > Metazoa > Chordata > Mammalia > Primates > Hominidae > Homo > Homo sapiens. Next base: position 27,063,981 of record NC_000002.12, read on the forward strand.
TTCCTGGGGTAGGGTGAAGGTTTGTCCCTTAATATGGTTTCAGCATGCCTGTGTGTGTAGATATTTCTCAAATTATCTAAACTATTTCCTCTATCAAGTTCATGATTTCTGCCTACTGTGCACTGTCAGCTGGACATCATCCTGACATCCATTTTAATCACAGAATTACTTGGCTCTGGGCCCTAGACTATCTCTGTCATTGGTGGTAGCTAATGTTTTAGGTTATTTGACTATGGCCACGAGTCTTGACTTCTGTTATCCTATTGGCAACCTGTGCCAACAACTCTCACTAGCCCCCTAACATCTGGTTGTTTTTGACTTTTTTTTTTTTTTTTGAGACAGTCTCGCTCTGTCACCCAGGCTGGAGTGCAGTGGCGTGATCACAGCTCACTCCAACCTTCGTGTCCCTGGCTCAAGTGATCCTCCAGCCTCAGCCTCCCTAGTAGCTGGGCCTACAGGTGCACACCACCACACCTGGCTGATTTTTGTATTTCTTTTTTTAGTAGAGATGGGGTTTCACCAAGTTGCCCAGCCTAGTCTCAAGCTCCCGGACTCAAGTGATCCAGCCGCCTCAGCCTCCCAAGGCACATGAGCCACCGTGCCTGGCGTTTTTGACTCTTGACCACCGTCTTAACCTATAATTGGTACCCAGCATATCTCCTCATAATAGAGTAGCTTCCATCCTGAGATCTCTCCCTTTCTTCTTTATTCATACAAGTATCGATTTTTTTTTTCCATTCAATTTTTTTTTTTTCCATTTTGGTTTGGAACCTTTTTTTTTTTTTTTTTTTTTTGAGACAGTCTCACTCTGTCGCCCAGGCTGGAGTGCAGTGGCCGATCTCAGCTCACTGCAATCTCCGCTTCCCGAGTTCAGGTGATTCTCCTGCCTCAGCCTCTGGAGTAGCTGGGATTACAGGCGCTCACCACCACGCCTGGCTAATTTTTTGTATTTTTAGTAGAAACGGGGTTTCTCCACGTTGGTCAGGCTGGTCTCGAACTCCCGAACTCAGTGATCCGCCTGCCTCAGCCTCCCAAAGTGGTGGGATTACAGGTGTGAGCCACCGTGCCTGACCTGGTTTGGACCTTTCAAAAGTATTCTTGTCACTGCCTGCTAATTCCCAGTGTGGCTGGGAAGATGAAGTTACTGTCACTTCTTAAGTTAGAGGATTTTCATATCCAACACGTTTATTAATGGTCAGTTGGCATGCTGGCACCTCTGGTGAATTCAGTTCTATGAAAAGTTAATAGCCCATCAGTTTGAGAGCATTTGGCACCTGCTGTTCCTCTGTGATGAGGAAGGACACGCCAAAGCTGCAAGCCTCCCTACCCCATCCATTTACCATCTGTCCCCCTGGGCCCCACCCTTCAGAACTTGTAGTAATAAGTCTCGAGACATGAGTGGACCAGAGACAGCTGCCCCAAAGGATATAACTGTATGCCTTTAGACTCCCACAGATGATTGATCCAGCTCATGGTGTCTGCTGTTCAAGTAAACAAAACATTGATTAAGGTCTCTGGTTTTTCAGGCAGCATTTTACAGGCACTGGGATATATAGTGTTGGAGGCAACAAAGTCCCTACTCCCAAGAAACTCAAGTTCCAGTTAGAAAAAATATTAGCTTATGTTTATTGAGTAGTATGTGCCTTTAAGTACTTTACACATACTAACTTAATTAAACAGAAACCATGAACTACTAGCCACACAAACAAAGGATGAAGGTAATGAGAAGAGAACAATTAATGTTGCCTGTAATGGTCAAGTAAGCTTCAAGTAAGAGAGGTAACATTTGAGATGGGACATGAAAGATGGTCATGGTTTCACTAGAAAAGGAAACAGTTCCAGAGGAACCACACACAACTAGTAGCCATGGGGTCTATAGCAGAGGGTATGAAGGATCAAATCAGCATCCTACTAAGGATTTGCAGACTGGAACTATAGTGGGCAAGGCTTTGAATGTGTAGTGTTCAAAAGTTTAGACTTCATCCTTTAGATCTTCAAGCCCAGTGCAATGGCTCACACCTGTAATCCCAGCACTTTGGGAACTGAAGCAGGAGGATCGCTTGAGCCCATGAGTTCCAGACCACCCTGGGCAACATGGTGAGACTCCATCTCCACAAAAAATTTAAAAATTAGCTGGGCTTGGTGGCGTGTGCCTGTTGTCCCAGCTACTTGGGATGCAGGAGGTCAAGTTTGTAGTGAGCCATGTTCATGCCACTGCACTACAGCCTAGGTGACAGAGTGAGACCCTGTCTCCAAAAAAAAAAAAAAAAAAAACCTCAGGTGAATGCAGAGATAGAATTGTAGGATTTGATTACACAAATGCAAATCTAAGAGAGGAATAGTAGAAAGATGAAACAAGGTTTCTAGCAGTTGGGTTTTGCATGAAGACAGGGAGAATGAAAGAAAGGGAGAGAATGAGTTTTGTTTTGTCAAGGGGACTTTCTTGGGAAAAAAATCTCCAGTGGACAATTAGAGCTGGATTTCAGGAGAAAAGGGCTACAGAGTGATTTGGGAGTTTAAGAGTAAGTAGAGCAGGAGAGGCCCAAGGACAGAATGGTGGGGAAGACTTGACATTTAAGGGGCAGGAAGAACAGCTGGAAGAGAAGCAATCAGTGGTAAGAGGGGAACCAAGGAAAGCTGTGTTAGCCAAGCTCAGTAACTTCTTTGCCAAAAGAATAAACTGGCCAGGTGCGGTGGCTCACACCTGTAATCCCAACACTTTGGGAGGCGGAGGTGGGTGGATCTCTTGAGCCTAGGAGTTCAAGACCAGCCTGGGCAACATGGCAAAACCCCGTCTCTACTAAAAATACAAAATTTAGGCTGGGCGCGGTGGCTCACACCTATCTGTAATCCCAGCACTGTGGGAAGCCAAGGCGGGTGGATCAGAAGGTCAGGGGTTTGAGACCACCCTGACCAACATGGTGAAACCCTGTCTCTACTAAAAATACAAAAATTAGCCAGGCATGGTGGCATGCGCCTGTAATCCCAGCTACTCGGGAGCCTGAGGCAGGAGAATCGCTTGAACCCGGGAGGCGGAGGTTGCAGTGAACCAAGATCGCACCACCACACTCCAGCCTGGGCAACAAAGCGAGACTCTGTCTCAAAAACAAAACAAAAAAAAAATTAGCTGAGCATGGTGGCGGGCACCTATAGTGCCAGCTGCTCAGGAGGCTAGGTGGGAGGATCACCTGAGCCTAGGAGGCTGAGGCTCGGTGAGCCATGATCGTGCCATTGTGCACTTCTTCAGCCTGGATGACAGAGTGGAAACCTTTAAAAAAAAAAAAAAAAAAAAAAACTAGCAGGATGAAGGCTGGTGGAGAATGGATAACTGTAATAAATAGTAGGTCTTTCTACCCATCTTATATTAATAGTTACTTCAGGAGAGGGATGTGGGTCTGATGACAAGCTTGAAAACTGGCATCTTTTGACCACGGAAGCCAGCAGGTCAGTGAAGGCTGCCTCATAGTGCCCCACTTATTTGCCCTTTTATCTGCTTGTATCTCTTCCACTCAGAGCCCCGAAGCCAGGACAGGAGACGGCAGCAGCAGCCCCTGAACCATCGTCCTGCAGGCAGCCTCGCTCCATCCCCAGCTCCTACTAGTTCTGGCCCAGCCTCCTCACACAAGCTGGGCTCCTGTCTACTGCCTGATTCATTCAACATACCAGGTCTGTACCCACTGCCACTGAAATCTGGGTTTGCCAGCCTCCTCCATGGCCAGGCCAGGTTCTTTAAGCCTAGTTGGGAGACCAGGGGCATCACTTATCCTCTTGGTATCCTAAACCTCTAACACTGGTGCCTTTGTATAGGAAGCTGGAATTTATTAATGTGTCTGTGTAATAAAACAATAGTTAACATTTACTGAACATTTACTATGTGCCAGGCACTGCTCTACACACTTAATCTCATTTTATCAGTTGAGGAACCTGAAGACTTTTGTCTACCTGCAAAATGCTACTTATGCAAATTCCCTGACTCCAGGAGCTGGGCAACACTAGACAAAACAGGAGAATGAAAAAAGCATGACGGTACTTTCTCCTGTCAACACTGCTAAATGCTGTGTGTAGCCGTATCATTCACACAAAGCCATCTCTTCTCCTTTAAATTATAGACCCAGCTATATAAAGAAAGGGATGGGAATGATTTTAAGACTCTAGTCCAACATGTTCTACCTCATTCAAAGACCCCTACTCCCAACCTGTCAACTCTCCTCAATGGGTAGCACTGAACCCACCAGTCCTGGGTAGAGCTGACTTGATCCTCAAATGCTAAACATATGATTGCGGCAGTATAAACTGACACAGGAGTTAAGCTTGGGTGCGTTCCGATTCTAGCCTGGAGTTGCTGCTCCACCCCTTGGACCACCAGACTAGAGCCTCAACCAGGGGTGATTTTGCTGCCAGGTGACATCAGGCAACATCTGGAGACATTTTTGGTTGTTACACTGAGGAGGGGGGAGATGAGGAAACAGCATAAATTGTTTAGAGGCTAGGGATGCTGCGAAACATCCTACAATGCACAAGACTACTCCCCACGATAAAGAATTATCCAACCCAAATTGTCAACGTGCCAAGGTTAAGAAACCCTGATCCTTTGGAAGTTACCTCCTCTTCTCTGTGACCCCTACCCTGATCAGTTTCCTCTGTTCCCTAGGGAGCAGTTGCTCACTCTTGTCCTCTGGAGACAAACCAGAGGCTGTCATGGTAATCGGGAAAGGTCTGCTAGGGACTGGAGCTCGGATGCCCTGCATCAAGACTCGATTGCAGGTAATATTTTTGGGTCTCCAGCATAGCTACTCTGGCAGAACCCAGCAAGGCACTGTTCCTCTGGGTAGTGGGAGGGAAAATGCTCAGCACTGCTTTACTGCATCTACCCTTGGCCACATCAGAGAGCTTCTCTGGTGCCTGAGTGCCTGTCTGTCCAGTCCCCTTCCTGCCCTCCACCATCCCCATCAGCCAGGTCATTTGCTTGCTTTCAACCTGTGTCCCTGCCAGATATACCCCAACCTTAGCCTGCTAGCTTTGGCTTTCCCTGCCCCTGCCCTTAGCTTCTCCTCTCTTTCTGCCCAGACCTGTCCGAGGAGAGTTTCCGCCAGGAGGGGTCCCGGATTCCCCAGGTAACACATTTGGTTGCTGCTGCTAGGAACAGCCCTGCCACCAACTCCGATTCAGTCCAGATCCCCATGCTAGGTAAAGCTGAGTATAGGCAGAGGCTGACTGGATGGGTGAAGTGTACACTGCTCTGGCAGGGGCTAAAGCATAGAGGGCTCTGAGAGAGGTCTACCAACCCTCCACTATCTTTCTACACAGTGTTTCTCTACTCACCCAGACCTTAGTCATGGTGTAGCCATGGCGGTTAAATGCTGGATCCGTTTGCCACCCCTAGTTATAGACTTGGAGTGCATAGTCATGGACTGAATCCAGGACTTCTCTGGCTATTATCTTGCCTCACCCTCTCAGCTAGAATTCAATGTCCCAGTACCTCTACTGATCCCTATACTACAACACTCTTATGCATGGAAACTCTAGAAGCAAACTAAAAGCAAAAAACTCATGGAAGAATCCAGCCTCTTAGCGCAAACCCTGTCCACACAGGCTAGGCCCAGGTTGGGCCGGGGCTCACCGCCGACTCGCAGAGGGATGAAAGGCTCTTCAGGCCCCACATCCCCTACCCCCCGGACCAGGGAGAGCAGTGAGCTGGAGCTGGGATCCTGCTCTGCTACACCAGGGTGAGCACTTGGGTCCAGTCCCTCACACCACCCCTCACTTCTGTCCCCTCATTCCCATTTCTGTCATTCAGAATAATTTTCTGCTTCCCTACTCCTTTTGAGCACAAAGACTAAATGTACTTCCATTAAGAATCTAGTCCCTGATTTTTTTTTCCCCCACCATGGCCAAGTCTTCAATCCAAAGCAAAAGAAAACAACTTTTAGTCAGGGCCTAAGGTCTAGGAGCTGGCTGGTTCCAGCGTCAAACCACTGTGCAGTAACCAACTTGCCCATCCTTACCCATCTTCATCTCGCTCCACTTCTTTCACTTCCCAGCCCCTGGTTAGCAGAACAGAAGAGGAGGAGAGTTTTCACAGCCCTGATTCCTCTCTCTTTTCTGTTGCAGGCTGCCTCAGGCCAGGCCCCCACGGCCCCGCTCTGCCCCTGCCTTTTCTCCTATATCCTGTAGTCTATCTGACTCCCCATCCTGGAATTGTTACAGCAGGGGTCCCTTGGGCCAACCTGAGGTTTGTTTTGTCCCTAAATCTCCCCCACTGACTGTTTCTCCCCGGGTCTGATAATGCCTTTATGTTCAAGCCCAGGATATAGCCCCAAGATGGGGTAACAGTGGGAAATATGCTAGTTCCCCTCCAGGCCGCTGATTCCATGTGACAGCCGTTAAGTCCTTGGAATGCCAGCCACGCTGTCCAAGGCATTACAGAGTATCACCTTGAGACAGAACAAAACAGGGACCTGCCACCCCTTCCCTCCCTCCGCAGCACAAGATTTTGGGACCACAAAAAAAAGTCTATATTTTTATATTGGGGGGAGGGAGTAGAAAAGCAAGCCCCTATACTGGGCCCTATTCAGTGGCAGCTTCTTGTTCCATAGGATTAAGGAAGACTCTGAGGAAATAAAAGTTGTTTGGAAAAATCCAGGTGTAGTTGCTTTGTATGTTGTGATGGGTAGAAGGGATGAAGTGAAGTGTGAAGGCCCCTCATACCCTCCATCTTGCCTCAGACTATGTCCTGGAACCCTAGAAAAGAGGGGGAAAGACCTGAGGTAAGGAAAATGCTGCAGCTTTCCTCTGGGGAATCCTTCAGGAAGTAACGCCCATCCATGTTCCCTTTATACTTGTGACCCACACTTAAGGCTGGCTCCAAAGCCCCCCCTTCCTTCTCTATAGTTTGGGTCAGCAGCCAACCCCTGGCCTCAGAACATGGAAACAGAATTCTACATCTGTCACCCCCCTCACCAAAAAAAATCTGCCCAAATAAGGCCTAAACAACCTGGGGAAAATGAGGGCTATTTAAGAGCCCAAATCCTCATACTTGGATGGTTCCCTCGGTACCTTCGTTCCTACCGGTGTCAGTGCCTCCTTACAACTATACTCCCAACTTGGGCATCTACCTACTGGAGACTGTGAGGGTTAGGCAACCCACTCCCATTCTAGCAGGGAACAGGTTACGGGGAGAGGACAGCGCGCTCTCTCTCTACTCTGTGCAGACAAAGGGGCCCAGTTCTGGACTGTATCATGCTTGGCCCGACACTTTCTGATTGTAAGTTTCGAACCCTGCTAGCCCTGGCGCGGCCTCGCCACTCAGCTCTGGGGACTGGGCGCTACAGCCCCGGGCCGTTACCTGGGGCGGAGAAAGCGCCACTTTCATTCCTGCTTCTTGGGATTGTTGACGGCCACGTAGTGATAGAGAACGACAAGCAAGAAGAGCGACACGCCCAGCATGTTGGCGAAGATGGCGAGCTGCACGTCCGTGATCATCCTGCGGAGAAGAGAGGGGCTGAGCTGCGGGCTGGCGCACTCCTCGCCCTCGCAAGAACCCGTCCTCGCCCCACGGGCCAGCCACGGCCACGGCCACGGCGGGGCTGGCCCGTGGGACGGCCCCTGCGTGCCTCTGACCTGACCAGTCCGGCTCGGCTCCGACGCCACCAGCGAACAAGCCCGAAGTCAGAGACCTGGACCGGAACTTCGTAGCGCCAGCTCAGGCCCGAACAAGCCGCTTCCGGCGGGGGGCGCGGTCGGGACGGCCTCTCTAGCCCCGCCGTCTCGTCGGCTCCGCGCGGCGCGTTACGGCCGCGGCTGGGGCGGGGCCTCGGGCGCGGCTGCGGTGGGAGGTCCAGCCGTAGGGGGTGGGGCGGGGCTGCGGACGCGCGCCTGGGCCCGGCACCGCACAGCTGGCTGCAGCTGGCGTGGCTCGGGACGCGGCTAGCGAAGCCGTGGTGGCCGCCTCCCCGGAGCCGAGGAGTGGGCTGGGGCGAGGGTGCAGCGGCGGGGCCGGCGGGATACTCCAACCCCCTTCCGGCCCCGGCCCTCAGTACTGCTGCCCACCCTTCGCTTCCCGGCCCGGCCCAACCAGGTGCTTCCTTTGGGTCCTGCCCTCAGTGCCCTCTCCCTGGCCCGGACGGCGGGGACAGGGGTAGGAGGCGTTGTAGAATGGGGACAGGGCTGGTGCTGCCGGGTGCTCCTTTCTCCGGCGCCATCCTTTGTGACCCACATGCAACCAAGTAGAACCATCCTGCCTTTTGTGATCTGACCAGGTTCTGTCTTAGCCGGGCTCCCTCCCTCCACCCTACCCCCCGGAGGTGGGCGTCGGAAATAGGGCGGACCCTCCCGGAATCAAAACCCAAACCGTGGGACTTCGGCCAAGTGGGAAATCACCCCCCGGATGTGGGGGAGGGAGAAGGGGAGGAATGGAGAAGAGGAGGAAGGGCTGGGACAAGCAAGAGGGGTCCTGGGTTCAGGACAGATTAGGTCGCCGAAGAGAACGAAGAGCGGTGGCTGCGGGTAGCCGAGGGTCTCTGGCGAGGGGAGAGGCACCCTGGAACTCTCCAAGCCTCTGCCCAAGCCAGAGCTTTCTCCCCCCTCACTCCATGCTTTCTCTCAGCTTCACCATAAAAGGGAACGGCACTGAGCCAGGCCGGGGCCGGGGGCTGGGCTGTTGCTCTGGAGCTGTCAGGGGTAATGGAAGCCAGTTGCTTTGCGGTAGAGGGGGGCCAGGGCTCAGGGGAGGCCTCTGCTTCTCGGAGCCAAAGAAAACTCTACAGGAGATGCTATGGGCTTGGGACAGGGGACCAGTTTCCCGCCTGTGTGCACTGAGCTGGGGATGCACTATCCCAAAGTAGCCTTCCCGGGCCTGGGACCATCAACAGCTTGTCACCCAAGGGCTTCAGCCCCGTGGCTTCTAAACATAATCCCTGCCTTTAGTAGTCTGTAGTTCCCGTGGCCTCCCCGCACCTCACCACCAGCCCCCACTCAATATTTCCCAGAAGCTTGATATTTAGAAAGCCGAGTCCCCTCCACACAACACTGGTGAAACCCCAGACAGGTACTCCCTTATGCATCCCTCAGTAAGCGGTCTGTTTCCAGCTCCTCTCTGGGAGAGTAAGGGTCTAGGTCTTAAGGATTACACGTCATTATGCTTCATGTCTCCTGGAAATTTGAAGCAGATCCAAGTCCAACCAAACACTTAGGTCTACTGTTGAATCAGAACTAGCCCTCCCTTTTAAAAATAAGCTCTACCTTTAGGCCAGCCCTGGAAGTTAAACTTTCTAGACTGAAAATGACAGGAAAGCAAGCCTTGAAAGTGCTTAAAACCAATTGACCCAGGTGCATAGTATCCTAGACTATCAGAGCCGAAAGGGGCCTTCAAAATCATCTTATGAAGAAAGAAACTGGCCAGGCATGGTGGCTCATACCTGTAATCCTGACATTTTGGGAAGCCAAGGCGGGAGGATCACCTGAGGTCAGGAGTTCGAGACCAGCCTGGCCAATATAGTGAAACCCCATCTCTACTAAAAATACAAAACTTAGCTGGTGGTGCATGCCTGTAATCCCAGCTACTCAGGAGGCTGAGGCAGGAGACTTGCATGAACCCAGGAGGCGGAGGTTGCAGTGAGCCAAGATTGTACCATTGCACTCCAGCCTGGGCAACAGAGAGAGACCCTGTCTCAGGGAAAAAAAAAAAAAAAAAAAAAAGGAAGGAAACTGAGGCCCAGAAGGTAAAATTTCACCAAGTTTCTAGAAACTGGTGAAAGAGCAGTGTCACCTCTTCCTCCTACCTCCACTCCATGTTCCAGGTCAAACTGTGGACTCAGTAGGTTGTCCTAGGGTTAGGCACAAGAAGGAAAGGATTTATTTTAGGACCACCCAGAAATTCATTCACCTCACAGAACTTCCTGTGCCTAGGTCAGTGGGTCTTTATCAGCTTTGGATGGGTCATTTGGCCCAGTGCCTGGAAGAACTGAAACAAAAAACAGTCTATGAGACTGAACTAGACTTAACTAAGAACTGACAAATCTCGAACCAAGCTTGGATAAAAAAACTACGTGGGAAGTGAGACAGGCACAGCCTCATCCTGGGGGGATTTGGGAGGATGTGGAGGGAAATGACTGGGGGGCACTTGTGGAGCTCAATCTCTGTGATTAGTGTGACATTTTCAAGGAAAGGACATGAGGCCAGGATTAGGCTCAGGAGTGAGAAAGCAACAAGACCTGGGAGAAGGGGAACTGGGTTCAGGGAGGTCGGCTACTAAAGTATTAAACCTGGAGGAAGAGCTGAAAGGAAAAGTAAAGTGCATCTCTTTGGAGAAAAGTGGGCTTTTGCTCAAGACTCCCCACAAACTTGAAGTCCCATGTGGATTGGCATGACCCAAGGCCCAAATCACTTTTTTTTTTTTTTTTTTGAGATGAGTCTCACTCTATCACCCAGTCTGGAGTGCAGTGATGCGATCTCAGCTCATTGTAACCTCTGCCTCTCAGGTTCAAGTGATTCTCCTGCCTCAGCCTCCTGGGTAGCTGGGATTACAGGAGTGTGCCACCACACCCGGGTAATTTTTGTATTTTTAGTAGAAACAGGATTTCACCATGCTGGCCAGGCTGGTCTCCAACTCCTGACCTCAAGTGATCCGCCTGCCTCGGCCTCCAAAAGTGCTGGGATTACAGGCGTGAGCCACTGTGCCAGGCCCCAAATCATATTATTCCCCCTTTTTCCCTCCCAATATTCAGTCCTCTGACAGAGAGGCTAGACATAAAATGCTCCTTATTGCTGGTGCCCACGGCTGTCCTGACCCTGGTCATGAACTCTTGCTCAGTCAGTGAAGCTGAATGAATGAGTTCATTGCCATGTAGGGCCAATTGGCACTAGATGCTTGGAAATTACCCACCTTGGAGAGGTTGTAAAATAGATCATGTCCTAGTGCCACCAGCAACTTAGCTTTCTGGGGGGTCAGGAACTCTTACCAATTGCTTTGGAAATTTATGGCTGCCTGCCAGTACCACCACCAGCATGTCACTGCCACCATCACCACTACCACTGCACTCTAACTTTAGGCTCCATTGCACCCTGCTTGCCCACTCAAGCCAGCAAGGGGAAGCATCCTCCCTGGTGAACTCAGAGCCACTGATATGTTTGTGATTTCACAAACATTCATGACAGCTCCTAGGTCTCGTCTCCTAATTACATAAAGGCAAATGAAATGCAACCTACTGCAACTATATTTCAAAGCCAACATTTTTCACTGGATACACTTAAATTATACAATAGATTTTTGAATTTCAGAGGGTAGGAGAGGGAATGGGTAACAATTGGGCAGTGACAAGATGGCTGGGGTGACTTTTCAGGTTGCCAGAGGCTTCCTAAGGGTGAAGAGAGGGAGAAGAGCAGAGAGAGAAAACCCATAGCAGCAGCTGGGGCAATCTGGAGGGGAAGTGGGTTGGCTTCCTGCCAGGGCCAGAGCCAGAGCCTAGAGACCAGGGACAAAGCTGCAACCTTCCACCGAAAACTTCTTTGAAATCGGGATCTCCTGTGAACATTTCCTTCAAATCTCCCTGTGTGCTGATCCCCAGGGCTCTAAGGGGCAACTACAAATTTCCATTTCTGTTTGTTCCAGCATTTACTTTCACCAACCACCACCCCCCTTTTTTTTTTCTGAATCAGTCTCACTCTGTTGCACAGGCTAGAGTGCAGTGGCGTGATCTTGGCTCACTGCAGCCTCCGCCTCCTGGGCTCAAGTGATTTTCGTGCCTCAGCCTCCTGAGTAGCTGGGATTACAGGCACACACCACCACACTGGCTAATTCTTGTATTTTTAGTAGAGACAGGCTTTCGCCATGTTGGCCAGGATGGTCTCGAACTCTTGACCTTATGGGATCCACCCACCACGGCCTCCCAAAGTGCTGGGATTACAGGCATGAGCCATCGTGCCTGGCCTAATTTTTGTATTTTTAGTAGAGATGGGGTTTCACCATTTGGCCGGGCTGGTCTCAAACTCCTGACCTCAAGTGCTCTTCCCACCTCAGCCACCCAAAGTGCTAGGATTACAGGCGTGAGGCACCACACCCCGCCTGACCCTGTCTTTTCACAAACATTTCTCTTAGCCATCAAGGTCACATTCTGGGTCATAGGACATCAGAGGCAAGATGGTTCAGAGTTACATTGATGATTTGATGGCATTCATTCTCATGGCTTCCACCTATTGCCCTGCACATGTTGGAAGAATCAGTGGCCCACCATTGCTAACAATCCTAGACACTGGTTTCCACTAGGATGTGTTACTCTCATCTTAAATTCAGTATCTTCAAACTACGATCACTTTTCTTTCCTCCAAACCTGCTCTCTTCCCGACTTCCCCATCCTGGCTCAAATGCTGGAATCTTCCCTCGTGTCTCCCTTCATCTGGTCCCTCATTACTCAGGCAGTCACCAAGCCTCATTACTCAGGCAGTCACAAAGTTCCCTGCCTATCCATGGTCACTGTCACCACCAGAGCCCAAGTCTGCATCACTTTGCAATGTAGAATTTGGAAGGGACTTTAGATGACACATAGACTCCCAGTGGTGTCATGGGATTTGCTGGGTCATAGTGACAGGAGGAGCTGGGGCTACATTGCCTGTGTTCTGACACCGTATTCAGCGCTCTCACCCACAATACCTTCTTTCGTGTATGTGTATATGCTTCTACTCAAAAACTTGCAATACAACCTCATAACCAGTCATTTGAGCCTCTCCCTAATTTGTCCACAATCTACCTCTCTGAATTTCGGTCCCATTTTTTCCTGACACAAAAAAAAGAGCTAACATTGATTGAGCATTTACCATTTGCCAGACACTGTTCTAGAATGCTTTACATGCACTGACTTACTTAATCCTCACAAAGTGGGATGGAGAGTCCTGTTATTCCTGTGTTACAGCTGAGGAGACTGAGGCAGACCGCTCTTCCTGAGCCTGAAATCTCTCTCCTTGCCTTGTCTCTGTTCTTGACTCCTGCCCCCCACCCCCGCCCCCACCCCAATGCTGTTCAGCTTTTGTCTTTTCCAGCCTCTCCTCTGACTGTCTCCAGCAGCCAGCTGTCTTTTCCCTCCTCCTAGCTGGAACACACATCATCCCTCTGTCCTGCCCCTTGGCACTTTTTCTGTCCTGGCTTGTGACGGTTCTCTGTTTGGGGGCTTGTGTCCCATTCTCCAACAACCTCAGTTGCTCCTTAGTGGACAGCGTCTGGGTCTTACCTATGCCTTTGCTACCTGGGCACCTCCGCAGTGCCTGGCACACAGCATTCTCCTGTCTCCTTTCTGTCTAGTGCTTCTGTTTCTTTCTCCCAAGCATCCCACCAGCTGGAGACCCTGGTCAAGAGCTGCGGGTCAGATGGTGACGGGGACCAAGCTTTTAGATCAAGGTGGCGCAGGTGGAACTTTCAGGTCAGGCTGACGGCTCTTTGCCTGTCACTGAGAGCTATCAGACTTGCCTCCAGGCCAGGGACTGACTTCCTTTGGTGCTCTAAAGATAGGTCCCGATTTACCTCACCCCCACCCTCATCCAGTTATGGCCTGACCATCACCAAAACAAGCCCAGGACCCATTTTCATTTATCCCTTTAAGAAAGGTTCTTTCTCTTCCTGCCCACGTGCCCTCTACCGCTTGACAGAAGCCTGCTCCCCATTGCCAGGTGCTTTTCTTCCTCCTCCTCTTCTTCTTTTTTTTTTTTGAGACAGAGTCTCGCTCTGCCGCCCAGGCTGGAGTGCAGTGGTGTGATCTTGGCTCACTGCAACCTCCTCCTCCCGGGTTCAAGCGATTATCCTGCCTCAGCCTCCTGAGTAGCTGGGATTACAGGCGTGTGCCAACATGCCTGGCTAATTTTTGTATTTTTAGTAGAGATGGGGTTTCACCATGTTGGTCAGGCTGGTCTCGAACTCCTGACCTTGTGATCTGCCCACCTCAGCCTCCCAAAGAGCTGGGATTACAGGCGTGAGCCACCACACAAGGCCCTTTCTTCCTCTTCTGTCATCTGTGGATTTCCCATCTGCCTCAGTGGAGTCCTTGACCTTTTCCTCCCTGGCCCAGCAGCACATTCTCCTCTCCTCCTTTCTCCCAAGTCACTGACCTAGTATTTAGTGTGTGTTCTCAGCCTCACCATTGACTTGCTGTGTTACCTTGGACAAGTCACTCTCCCACTCTGACCTCAATTTTCACATCTCTAAAAGGAGACTGCTAGACTAGACGGTGAGTGAAGTCCTGCTGAGCCCTCCGAGTTCATTCTCCCTTGTCCAGTCAGTCCTTCCCTCCCACCCTCCCCTCTGGGCTCCCTCTCTGGGGCCCTCTCCCCCAGGGGAGGCCTGCTCCAGCCCCAGGGGAGCTGCGGCCCTGGCTCCTGTTCCCAGTCGGAGTGACCAGCCCTGGGCCTCCTTCCCAGCTTCGGCCCTGGCTCCATGTGGCCCATCTGAGAGGCTGGCCTCAAGCCCGGCGGCAACTCCACATTTCTGTTTTTCCTTTTTTTTCCCTCTTTCCCGGAGTTAACAAGAAGCAGATGTGGCGCACGATGGTTGGAGAGGTGGGGGGAGGAAGGGGGAGGCCGGACCGCCAGCCAGACAGGGGGGAAGGGAGGGGAGCCAGCAGGGAGGAGGAGGCCAGGGCCCGCCCCACAGCCACTCTCGCGCCTCCGAACAGCCACAGGGGCAAAGCCCTGTCACCCCCAGGATCCGGTCATCAGGGAAAGAGGACAGGGAGACCAGAAGAGGGCCAGCTGGGACGAGGGGGCGGACGCCCAGGAGGCAACTTCTGAGACGCAGCTCCTGAGAGGGGCAGGGACCAGGCGCGGGAGGCCAGAGGGGGCACAGAGAACAAACCCCCTCAGAAGTGAAGAGGAGAGCGGAAGGAACCGAGAGGGGACGGACAGGAGCTGAGGAGGAAAGAGGAGGGGAGAGGGGTCAGGCCAGGCAGCCAAGGAGAAGACGTGTGGCCGGGGGCTATCAGAAGGAAACTGGGACGGACGGGCCGGGCTCGGGCTGTCCTGTGGAGCAGCAGCATCCCCGGGGCCGGCAGAGGCGCCAGTGGCTGGGCGGGATGAGTCTCTGAGGGCCACTGTGGAGCGCCCCGCCATGGCCCCCCGCACCCTCTGGAGCTGCTACCTCTGCTGCCTGCTGACGGCAGCTGCAGGGGCCGCCAGCTACCCTCCTCGAGGTTTCAGCCTCTACACAGGTTCCAGTGGGGCCCTCAGCCCCGGGGGGCCCCAGGCCCAGATTGCCCCCCGGCCAGCCAGCCGCCACAGGTAAGAGTCTGGATCCCAGCCCGAGGCTTGGGTGGTGAGGAAGGGGTCAGAATGCCACCTCTGCCTGGCTCTCTGCTGTGTCCGCTAATGCAGGGCAGAGGGGGAGTGAGAAGCCCATCCATCAGGTGGCTCCTCACATGCCCACCTTCCCACGGGGCCTTTTCCAGGACCCCCTGAACACATATGTTCCTTGGGTCACCTAGGGGGTCCGCTCCCACATGCCCCAGGGAAGCTGCCCTGAGGGGAGCGGGCCAGGCCTTCCTGCCAGCTGCCCTCTGTATCCTAGCCCCAGAGCCTCAGGGAGAACTTTTGTCCCCTTCTAGGGCTCCCTTGACCCCATCCAGTAATCCATAATTCTGACACCACTCCAGCTCTGTTCCCTCCAGCCCTCCAGCCAGACACAGATCAGAGGCCGGAGTGAATGGGGCCAGGAGTATAGAACTGCAATCCCCAAGAGGGGCAGGCTCATCAATGGCTTATTCTCTACTTAACCCCAAGCTGGCCTGCCCGTCTTCTCCTGGAGGGGTGGGGTGGAAGCCAGTGTTCAGATCACCCACAGGGCCCGGGCTGGCTATGCGCACACAGCATGCCAATCTGGGGACTGAGACAGGCCCAGAAAGGGACACACATGATTGTGTACATTCAGAGGCTCCCCGGGACCCCACCACCATGAGGATTGACTGCTCTGTGGTTTTCCATTCTGCGCGTCTCCCCATCTTGAAAAGTCTTTATCTGCTCCTGCTACACAGGAAAGCGTGGGGGATAGGGAGGGTGGCGATGCCAAAGCCCTTGCTCTCACTGATCCCCAAGGGTTCTGCATCTTTGGAGCCTTCTTCAGCCCCTCTGGTAGCCCCTGGGCCCTCCTCCAGGGCATGTATCTTTGGTCCTTGGACCCAGAGGGGGTTGTACCTACAGGAACTGGTGTGCCTACGTGGTGACCCGGACAGTGAGCTGTGTCCTTGAGGATGGAGTGGAGACATATGTCAAGTACCAGCCTTGTGCCTGGGGCCAGCCCCAGTGTCCCCAAAGCATCATGTGAGTCCCAGGGCCGGGCAACGGGCCCTTGGTGGGAACTGGGCGAGGGCAGATGGTGGGTGGCTGACTCAGGGAGTCTGTATGAAGCAGGGAGCAAGGGCAGGACAGGGGCTAGGGTCACAGCCATTTTGAGGAGATACTGAGACAACAGTTTGGCTGGTGGGAGACTGAGGGCAAACCTGCCTCACGCGCCAGCCCCAGATGCCTTCTCTGGGATGGCTCAGGCTCAAGCAGAGGAGTTCAAGGTTCCAGCACAGGGCAAGGGAAGGAAGAGCAGGGATTTAACCCTTGGCCAAAAAGCTGACAGCTGTCAGCTAAGCAAGGCCACATGTTGGACAGTAAGAGGGACCCAGCCTGAGGGACAGGCCATGCCCACCAGCAGCTGCCCACCCCTGAGGACAGGGACCAGGGTCACTGACCGTACAGGGAGGAATAAAGAGGCCTCCTTCTGCCTCTGCCAGGTACCGCCGCTTCCTCCGCCCTCGCTACCGTGTGGCCTACAAGACAGTGACCGACATGGAGTGGAGGTGCTGTCAGGGTTATGGGGGCGATGACTGTGCTGAGAGTCCCGCTCCAGCGCTGGGGCCTGCGTCTTCCACACCACGGCCCCTGGCCCGGCCTGCCCGCCCCAACCTCTCTGGCTCCAGTGCAGGCAGCCCCCTCAGTGGACTGGGGGGAGAAGGTGAGTGTGGGAGCTGCTGCGAGGGTGGCAAGTTCCAAATGGTGATCCAATGCAATGGGAAATGTGGGGCCAGGCTGCTGGGGGAGTCCCCCGTGCTCTATGCCAGAGAGAAGAGAGGGGCAGAAGGGTTAGTGAGATCGCAGAGATTCCCTGCCCGTGTGTGTGTGTGTGTGTGTGTGTGTGTGTGTGTGTGTGTATTTGTGTGTCTGTGTGAGAGAGAGGGAGAGAGCACGCAAAAGATGGAGAGACTGAGAAAAAGAAGGCCAAAAAAGAGAAGGTGCTCGCACACGCCCCATGTGGCCAAGATCCTTCAAACAGCTGCAGGAGAAAGGGGCATTCCTTTGAGAAGCTTGGTCCGTGGGGACAGACAGTTGAGACTACAAATCCTAGCATGCATTGCACCTGACTACAGATCCCAGACCCCTCCGTGGCCTCTGGAGACCGCAGGTCCCAGCATGCAGCAGTTCCTGTGGCTTGCCTTCCCTCCTGCGTGCTGCACACCGGATGTGCTGTTTCCCTGCCCCGAGATAGCCTTACTATAATTATGCAAACAGGAACTCCTGGCCAACTCTCACCGTCCACAGAGCCTCTTCTTTGTCCCCGTGGTGTTGCAGGGAAGTGTCACCCAGTGGTAGCTACTGTTGTGGCATCCAGAGTGCCTCCCTACACTCCCATTTCGCCCCTCTTGACAGCCCCATGACAGAAGAGTGTCATTATCCTTTCGCAGAAGAGGAAAGAGTTTCCAAGAAGTTAAGAGGCACTCTGGGCAGGTGGAAAGGACATGGACCTGGGGGCTGGATAGATGGTCTGGGTTTGAAACTTAGCACTGCCATTTATTAAACCTGTGATCCATGGCCAGGCACCTAATATCTCTGGTCCAGTTTCCCAGCCTATATGATGGGAAGAGTTCATGGTATCTCCCCAGGGGAGTTATTGAAGAACAGAGCCATGGTTCATATTTGGCCTAGAGGCATTCAGTGAATGGAGTTTCTTTTTTTTTCTCTTGCCAAAATCACCCAAAGGAGAGGCAGAGCCAGCCTGGGCATCTGACCCTTGCTGGAGCTGGGGTGAGCAGGGGCCTTGAGCTCTGGGGTCCAGCCCCTCTGCCTTCTGCCTTCCCCTCTCCTCAGGTCCTGGGGAGTCAGAGAAGGTGCAGCAGCTGGAGGAACAGGTGCAGAGCCTGACCAAGGAGCTGCAAGGCCTGCGGGGCGTCCTGCAAGGACTGAGCGGGCGCCTGGCAGAGGATGTGCAGAGGGCTGTGGAGACGGCCTTCAACGGGAGGCAGCAGCCAGCTGACGCGGCTGCCCGCCCTGGGGTGCATGAAACCCTCAATGAGATCCAGCACCAGCTGCAGCTCCTGGACACCCGCGTCTCCACCCACGACCAGGAGCTGGGTCACCTCAACAACCATCATGGCGGCAGCAGCAGCAGTGGGGGCAGCAGGGCCCCAGCCCCAGCCTCAGCCCCTCCGGGCCCCAGTGAGGAGCTGCTGCGGCAGCTGGAGCAGCGGTTGCAGGAGTCCTGCTCCGTGTGCCTGGCCGGGCTAGATGGCTTCCGCCGGCAGCAGCAGGAGGACAGGGAGCGGCTGCGAGCGATGGAGAAGCTGCTGGCCTCGGTGGAGGAGCGGCAACGGCACCTCGCAGGGCTGGCGGTGGGCCGCAGGCCCCCTCAGGAATGCTGCTCTCCAGAGCTGGGCCGGCGACTGGCAGAGCTGGAGCGCAGGCTGGATGTCGTGGCCGGCTCAGTGACAGTGCTGAGTGGGCGGCGAGGCACAGAGCTGGGAGGAGCCGCGGGGCAGGGAGGCCACCCCCCAGGCTACACCAGCTTGGCCTCCCGCCTGTCTCGCCTGGAGGACCGCTTCAACTCCACCCTGGGCCCTTCGGAGGAGCAGGAGGAGAGCTGGCCTGGGGCTCCTGGGGGGCTGAGCCACTGGCTGCCTGCTGCCCGGGGCCGACTAGAGCAGTTGGGGGGGCTGCTGGCCAATGTGAGCGGGGAGCTGGGGGGGCGGTTGGATCTGTTGGAGGAGCAGGTGGCAGGGGCCATGCAGGCATGCGGGCAGCTCTGCTCTGGGGCCCCTGGGGAGCAGGACTCTCAAGTCAGCGAGATCCTCAGTGCCTTGGAGCGCAGGGTGCTGGACAGTGAGGGGCAGCTGCGGCTGGTGGGCTCCGGCCTGCACACGGTGGAAGCAGCGGGGGAGGCCCGGCAGGCCACGCTGGAGGGATTACAAGAGGTTGTGGGCCGGCTCCAGGATCGTGTGGATGCCCAGGATGAGACAGCTGCAGAGTTCACACTACGGCTGAATCTCACTGCGGCCCGGCTAGGCCAACTGGAGGGGCTGCTGCAGGCCCA
Organism: Homo sapiens; assembly: GCF_000001405.40. Taxonomy (NCBI): domain Eukaryota; kingdom Metazoa; phylum Chordata; class Mammalia; order Primates; family Hominidae; genus Homo; species Homo sapiens. The sequence goes on from NC_000002.12 coordinate 27,083,302, forward strand.
TGGGGATGAGGGCTGTGGGGCCTGTGGCGGAGTCCAAGAGGAACTAGGCCGCCTTCGGGATGGTGTGGAGCGCTGCTCCTGCCCCCTGTTGCCTCCTCGGGGTCCTGGGGCTGGTCCAGGTGTTGGGGGCCCAAGCCGTGGGCCCCTGGACGGCTTCAGCGTGTTTGGGGGCAGCTCAGGCTCAGCCCTGCAGGCCCTGCAAGGAGAGCTCTCTGAGGTTATTCTCAGCTTCAGCTCCCTCAATGACTCACTGAATGAGCTCCAGACCACTGTGGAGGGCCAGGGCGCTGATCTGGCTGACCTGGGGGCAACCAAGGACCGTATCATTTCTGAGATTAACAGGCTGCAGCAGGAGGCCACAGAGCATGCTACAGAGAGTGAAGAGCGCTTCCGAGGCCTAGAGGAGGGACAAGCACAGGCCGGCCAGTGCCCCAGCTTAGAGGGGCGATTGGGCCGTCTTGAGGGTGTCTGTGAACGGTTGGACACTGTGGCTGGGGGACTGCAGGGCCTGCGCGAGGGCCTTTCCAGACACGTGGCTGGGCTCTGGGCTGGGCTCCGGGAAACCAACACCACCAGCCAGATGCAGGCAGCCCTGCTGGAGAAGCTGGTCGGGGGACAGGCGGGCCTGGGCAGGCGGCTGGGTGCCCTTAACAGCTCCCTGCAGCTCCTGGAGGACCGTCTGCACCAGCTCAGCCTGAAGGACCTCACTGGTGAGGGGACAAAAGGCATGAGGGGACCCCTTTCAAGCCCCTTATTTTTCTTCTCCCTCCCCCAGCCCAGCTTCCAACTCATCTGCTTTCTCCTTGCTTTTCCCAACATGAATTGCAGCCCCAGCCAGTATTCCAGGTGTTATAGTTTGCCTGCAAGAGATGATGCAAGGTCCTAGCTCCCGCCCTCCCTCTGGCTGCTCACTAGGCCTGTGGGTGGAGAGAGGATGTTGCTCTGCCAGCCAGGGATCCAGCATATGCAGCAAGGGACCCCATGGCCCCCTCAGCCTGCAAAGCTCCACCTGTTCCATCCATCTTCTCCCTGTTCATGAAGCCACCACCCACCTTCCTTACCCATTGGAAACTCCTTTTATGGCCCTCCTTCAACTCAATTTTGTCACTGTAGGGCCTGCAGGAGAGGCTGGGCCCCCAGGGCCTCCTGGGCTGCAGGGACCCCCAGGCCCTGCTGGACCTCCAGGATCACCAGGCAAGGACGGGCAAGAGGGCCCCATCGGGCCACCAGGTATGTGCACTGAGACCCTTGCTGCAGTCAGGGTTGCCACTGCCCCCTCCAACCCTGACCCCCGCTGGCAGCCCCAGGCTTGACATTCCACTCTGAACTTGACAAGGGGAATTGGGTACTACCTGACCGATAAGGGAAAATCAGAGGAAAGTGAGGAGGAACTGTGATAGTCACTGTGTTTGGTTAATGGGTATTAGGAGGCTAATGGATAATGTTGGCCCCACTGCAGTACTGGAGACTAAAGCTGAGTCTATTATAGCTGTCTGGGGTGTGAAAGGCTGGGATGGCCCAGCAGTTGAACAGAATGGACCCTACCTATTCCTGTTTTTCTTGATACCCCAATTCCTGCTTTGAAGTCCACGTAGCACCGAGCACAACAGGAGAGCCTCAGCAGATGTTTGCTGAGTGACTTAGTGAGAGCTGCTTTATTTCTCACTGCTCCCTTTCCTCTTCTCACAGGTCCTCAAGGTGAACAGGGTGAGTGCCTTTCATTTGATTCTGGAGGGAGAAGTGACTAGGGGTTGGAGGATAGAGGTCCTCGGGCAGCCCTGGGCTGGGGATCCAGCAGGGGAAGGGGGCTGGCACTCTGCCCTGAGCATCCCCTTTAACATCCACCCTTCCCACTCAGGAGTGGAGGGGGCACCAGCAGCCCCTGTGCCCCAAGTGGCATTTTCAGCTGCTCTGAGTTTGCCCCGGTCTGAACCAGGCACGGTCCCCTTCGACAGAGTCCTGCTCAATGATGGAGGCTATTATGATCCAGAGACAGGTAGTCCTGGGAGGGGCTGGGTTGAACGGTTGGAGAAATGGGTGAGGTGTGCAGTGATATCTTCCCATTCTTGCCTTTTCCGACAGTGTGAATCTTCATTCTCTGATTTGGGGAGACCCCGGCTCTTTCTTCATTTATTCATTCTCAGGCAGTGGGGAGAAGAAGTAGTCATTCATTCATTCAGCAGATCTTTACTGGGGCCTGCTCCTGCCCAGGCACTGTTTTAAGTGCTGGGAATGCATAGTGAACAAAGCCCCCAGTTCCCTGCCGCTCACATTCCAGTGAGGTGAAAAGACCCAGAGGGTCCCTCCTCAGTCCAGGAGTTCTGGTGCGCTCCCCGGAGCTTCCCTGGCCCCCCTGACTGCTATCCTTGTCCCCAGGCGTGTTCACAGCGCCACTGGCTGGACGCTACTTGCTGAGCGCGGTGCTGACTGGGCACCGGCACGAGAAAGTGGAGGCCGTGCTGTCCCGCTCCAACCAGGGCGTGGCCCGCGTAGACTCCGGTGGCTACGAGCCTGAGGGCCTGGAGAATAAGCCGGTGGCCGAGAGCCAGCCCAGCCCGGGCACCCTGGGCGTCTTCAGCCTCATCCTGCCGCTGCAGGCCGGGGACACGGTCTGCGTCGACCTGGTCATGGGGCAGCTGGCGCACTCGGAGGAGCCGCTCACCATCTTCAGCGGGGCCCTGCTCTATGGGGACCCAGAGCTTGAACACGCGTAGACTGGGGTCCCGCCCGACGTGTCTACGTCGGCTGAAGAGACAGCGGGGGCGGCGGGCTCCTGGGGTCTCGCCTGAGACGGGGCACCTAGCCCTGGGCGAGCGCCGCACCCGGGCCCGCAGCGGCACCGCGCCCAGAGCGGCCTCTCCCCACGCCCGGGGCGCGCCGGCTCAGGGAGGCTCGGGGCCGCCCATGCAGACTTTTGGCCTGGCGCGATCCCCCAAGAACCCCTCCAGGGCCGGCCTGCGGAGGAGCCGATCCTCGCACCCTCCGCTCCCTCCACTGGCCCTCCAGGTCGATTCCCTGGGCTCCAGGCTCCCCCGCGCGGGCGCCGCCCACCGCCATACTAAACGATCGAGGAATAAAGACACTTGGTTTTTCTAAAAAAAACTAAACGAACCGTTCTGCTACGGTACGGGGTCGGGGGCTGCCGGGCGTGCACAGGGCACGGGGCGGGAGAGACGACGGCCTCCGGAGAGGACCCCGGGTTCCGCACTGCGTTCGCCGCCTCCGCCCGGCTCGGGGCGGCTCGGGGTTGGCTCAGGCAGCAAGCGGCGCCCGCCCGGCTCCTGCGACGTCTCCCCCGTGTCACGCCCGTTTCGCCGGCGTCCGCCAGGGGGCGCTCTGCGTTCCCGCCACGTGAGGCTGCGGCCCACCCGGCGGGTCCTGCTCCTCCGCGGCGGAGGCGTGGCCTCGGCTGGGACTAACCGGGGCGGGGCGGGGCGGGGCGGGGCGGGGCCGCCGCGACCGCGGGCTTCAGGCAGGGCTGCAGATGCGAGGCCCAGCTGTACCTCGCGTGTCCCGGGTCGGGAGTCGGAGACGCAGGTGCAGGAGAGTGCGGGGCAAGTAGCGCATTTTCTCTTTGCATTCTCGAGATCGCTTAGCCGCGCTTTAAAAAGGTTTGCATCAGCTGTGAGTCCATCTGACAAGCGAGGAAACTAAGGCTGAGAAGTGGGAGGCGTTGCCATCTGCAGGCCCAGGCAACCTGCTACGGGAAGACCGGGGACCAAGACCTCTGGGTTGGCTTTCCTAGACCCGCTCGGGTCTTCGGGTGTCGCGAGGAAGGGCCCTGCTCCTTTCGTTCCCTGCACCCCTGGCCGCTGCAGGTGGCTCCCTGGAGGAGGAGCTCCCACGCGGAGGAGGAGCCAGGGCAGCTGGGAGCGGGGACACCATCCTCCTGGATAAGAGGCAGAGGCCGGGAGGAACCCCGTCAGCCGGGCGGGCAGGAAGCTCTGGGAGTAGCCTCATGGAAGAGAAGCAGATCCTGTGCGTGGGGCTAGTGGTGCTGGACGTCATCAGCCTGGTGGACAAGTACCCTAAGGAGGACTCGGAGATAAGGTAGGGGCGCCCAGGTCCCCTAGGGGACCCCAGGGGCTGCTGCAGTCCAGCATTTGTGCCAGCGACCGAGGCTGCAGAGACCCCGCAGTGAGGCCCTGAGAACCCGGCTTCAAGGCCGGACCCGCGCCCTCTACCCGGGAATCCTGGGGGGGCTCCCAGCATGACAGAAGAGAGGAAGGAATTGAGGCCTTTAATAAGAAGACCCAGGATTTAATAGCATCGTGTTAGCCAATTTCCATTTCAACTCAGGCATCAGGTGTCAGGTGTCAGGCATCAGGATCCCCATTTTACTGATAAGTATAGATTCAGAGACCAAGGGGCTTATCCAGGGGCACACAGCTACCTGCTTCTGCTGTTTCTTTTTAAACCCCAAGCCTATGCACTTGCCTCTCATCAACATTTACTTCTAACTTATTTATCCACATATCTCGCACCTATTTCTGAGAAAGATTTGAGGTAGCTTACAGTAAAAAGTATGTACAGTTAAACTGTTGGAGAACATTTAAGACCATGGTATTTGAGCTTCAACTATAGCTCAGGGCTTGCTGGCACTGGAGGCAAACATGAGATGCCATGGGTTATGTATGGATAGAGCTGGTTCATGAGCCCTGGCAAGCTTTTTCCTGGTGCTAAATTCCAAGAGGAGTTTACCAGAAGTCCTTTTCACAGAGGTCAATGAACACCGTTTAGTAGTGGGAAATATCTTTCTCAGTTGTCTGCTAGAAACTGAAGAGTCAGTTGTTGGTTCTTTTTTTTTTTTTTTTTTTTTTTTTTTGAGACAGGGTCTCATTCTGTCGTCCAGGCTGGAGTGCAGTGGTGCAACCATGCTCACTGCAGCCTTGACCTCCAGACTCAAGTGATCCTCCCACCTCAGCCTCCTGAGTAGCTGGGACCACACATGCACGTCACCATCCCAGCTGTATTTTAAATTTTGTATAAGGGACGGGTTCTCACTATACTGATCAGAGTGGTCTTGAGCTCCTGGGCTCAAGCAGTCCTCCTGCTTTGGCCTCTCAAAGTACTGGGATTACAGGCATGAGCCACTGCACCCAGCCGATTTGTTGGTTCTTTTTCTTTTTGAGACAGAGTCTCGCTCTGTTGCCCAGGCTGGAATGCAGTGGCATGATCTTGGCTCACTGCAACCTCCGCCTCCTGGATTCAAGCGATTCTCCTGCCTCAACCTCCTGGGTAGCTGGGATTATAGGCATACGCCACCATGCCCCACTAATTTTTTTTTTCTTTTGTAGAGACAGGGCTTTTCTTTGTAAAGACATGTTGGCCATGCTGGTCTCAAACTTCTAATCTCAAGTGATCTGCCCGTCTCAGTCCCCCAAAGTGCTGGGATTACAGGCATGAGCCACCACACCCGGCTTATTGGTTCTTGTATTTCCTCTTGATAAGGGCCCCACCATTACACTGTAATGCTGTGAAGGCATTTCTGTGGGGCGGGACACTAGCTTTCTCTTGGTGCAGTCAGTGAGTGCTTAGAACACTGAGAATTGCTCCTGGGCTATATCAGTTGTCGCAGCTAAGAACTGGATAAGAGGCAGTTCAAGACTGAACTCCACAAAGACACGACAGTGCTGATGGCTGCCAGGCTAACTGAGGTGAGAGACCCCGACACTCCTCAGGCTTTGGGGCCACAAAGCACCATCACATATATTATTTTATACTCTCCTCCCAGCAGCCCATGGGAACTGTGTAAAGATCAGTGAAATCCTTTATACAGATAAGGAAGCTGAAGATTTGGAGATGTTTTTTAAGGCCACGGAGTTAAATGGTGGCACAGTGGCAGCTGCAGCTCGAGTCTCCTAGTGTGGAGTCCAGGGTCCCTGCCCTCTGTCATCTCCTGTATACCCTGTCCCTTTGCTGTTGACCATCTCTTGGAGTTGACCCTTTGCTTTGGTTTGCCAGAGGTTAGGGCCCCTTGCCAGGGGTGCAGGGACTGGGGAAGGGGCACGGGCATGCCACTGTGTAGACCTAACCCACTGTGCAAGGTCGAGGCAGCCACAGGACATGGCACTCAGTGAGGAGTTGGGTTCATCTCAGGGCAACAGTGCAAATTCCAGGGCCACAGGTTCTCCAAGGACCGTGGAGAGCCTGGGAAAAGACTCAGCGCCTCTTTCTGTCAGAGCTGAAGTCCCATTTCCTCTCAGCTTAATTCTGTCGGGAAGGTAGGAGAAGGAGGTCCTGCTAGCACCCACACTGATGGGGCAGGTTCTGAAGGTGGGCACTGAGCGAGGCACTTCTCTAAAGGGCCCCTTCCCATGTCCATCATGCTTCCTGCACTCCAGGCCATGCCTTCCCCGCAGCCCCATGGCCCTGGTTCCCTGCAGCCTGGCTCCTGAACTGTTGTGCCTCCCAGAGGAGCACATCCGAGTGGGGACCCAGTCCTTCCTGGGTGTCTCAGCCCCACCTGTCCTAGGGTCTCTGTGCTTGACAGGCAGTTGGGGACTCTTGGGAGCCGCCACCTGGAGCTCAGCCAGACCCCTGGGACGTGTCCTTTTTTTTATTTTTTGAGTTGGAGTTTTGCTCTTGTTGCCCAGGCTGGAGTGCAATGGTGCGATCTTGGCTCACTGCAACCTCCGCCTCCAGAGTTCAAGCAATTCTCCTGCCTCAGCATCCCGAGTAGCTGGGATTACAGGCATGTGCCACCACACCCAACTAATTTTGTACTTTCAGTAGAGATGGGGTTTCTCCATGTTGGTCAGGATGGTCTCGAACTCCCGACGTCAGGCGATCCGCCTGCCTCAGCCTCCCAAAGTGCTGGGATTACAGGCGTGAGCCACCGCGCCCAGCCTTTAGCTGAGCATTTCTGCACAGGAAATATCAGTGTGACTTTGAAGGGTTTCCCCAGAGTAAAATTCTATATCCTTTCTTAGAAACCTCAATGCTTGGGCCTAACAACTTTTAGTTTTAAAATACGGAGTAATTAGCAATGGCTTTGGGGTCAGGAAATTGGGTTCCCACATCAGCTTTGTCCTTAACTATTGATCAAGTCAGATCCCTCGAGATTCCTCCTTTTTTTTCATATCTTTTCGTAAAAATTTCTGTAAAGCTGTAAAGCTCAGCTTGAAAATCTTTTTTTTCTTTTTTCTTTCTTTTTTTTTTTTTTTTTTTGGAGACAAAGTCTTACTCTGTCACCCAGGCTGGAGTGCAGTGGCATGATCTTGGCTCACTGCAACCTCTGCCTCCCGGGTTCAAAAGATTCTCCTGCCTCAGCCTCCCGAGTAGCAGGGATTACAGGCACCTGCCACCACACCCGGCTCATTTTTGTATTTTTAGTAGAGACAGGGTTTCAACATCTTGGCCAGGCTGGTCTTGAACTCCTGACCTCGTGATCCACCCGCCTCAGCCTCCCAAAGTGCTGAGATTATGGGCGTGAGCCACTGCGCCCGGCCAGCTTGAAAATCTTTGACCAGCTGGGTGCAGTGGCTCATACCTATAATCCCAGCACTTTGGGAGGCCAAGGCAGGAGGATCGCTTGAGCCGAGGAGTTCGGGACCAGCCTGGGCAACATAAGAAGATGCCATCTCTACGAAAAAATTTTTTAAATTAGCGGGGCATGGTGATGCACACCTATAATCCCAGCTACTTGGGAGACTAAGGTGGGAGGATCAGTTGAGCTGGGGAAGTTGAGGCTGCAGTGAACCATGATCATGCCATTGCACTCCAGCCTGGGTGACAGAGTGACTCTGTCTCAAAAAAACAAAAAAATTACTATCCTTTGTCATTGTTGTTATTGTTGTTTTTGAGACAGGATCTCACTCTGCCACCCAGGCTGGAGTGCAGTATCATGGCTCACCCCAGCCTAAACCTCCCGGGCTCATACGCTCCCCCAACTTCAGCCTCCTGAGTAGCTGGGACCACGGGTATGCACCACCATACCCAGCTAATTTTTAATTTTTTTTTTTTTTTTAGAGACAAGAGCTCCCTTTGGTTGCCCAGGCTGGTCTCGAACTTCTGGGCTCAAGTGATCCTCCTGCTTTGGCCTCCCAAAGTGCTGGGATTATAGGCATAAGCCACTGTGCCTGTCCTACTATCATTTTTTTTCTAATGACATCGTGCTCCCCTTTTCCCAAAACTGAAGTTTCGCGTACAAATATGCTTTGGCCTAAAAATTCTGGTTCGGTTTTTTCTCTTAATTCGTGGTTCTTTGGTACTGTTCCTTTTATTGTAAACTGCCACAATTATTATTATTATTGGAACTGGCACAATAGAAATAACACCACCATTCTTACCTCAAAGGTAATAACATTCATTAATGATTTCTCATTTGGGCTCCAGTAACACTGTGAGGGGATCAGTGCGTTGACCCTCTATGTGGAAGTTATCATTTTTGCTGCTGATGACAATGAAGCCCTTCACGTGTGTCTTGTTAGTTTCCTTTTGGTTGGTTTTTAGTAAAGATGGAGAAGTGCTCCCTGCTGCCACTTCTTAAACGACCAACGTCCAGGTTTGCTGTCCTGTCTTACTCGTTTGATTTTATAGCTCTGCAGTTTCTATTGAAGTAGACACTCCTAACACAGGGGTAGGTGTAAATGTGATACCTTTGGGAAGAGGCACTTAGTCCCCGAGGTCCTTGGAGTTGCTCCAGCTCTCAAGGAGGAGGCCAAAGGTGCAGCGTCTGGAGCAGCTCTGACTGGGGTGAAAGGTGAGGAGGAGATGACCTGGAGTTAGTGGGTCTCTCGAATAGTGATGGACCCAAGTGAGTGGTTTCCTGTTGCCCTAGGAACAGATGGAAATATTGAAAGGAACTGCTGTCAGCTTGAATTTAGCCTGGGCTGGGGAGGTAGACACCGCTCTCAGCCAAGCTCCTTCCCTTGGCCGGCCTCGGCTGCCCCGGGTACAAAGTGAGACGTCGGCCTAGATGCTTTCTGAGAGGAGTCCCCAGCTGTTACATTCTGTAGGCCCCTATACAGGAGACTGTGCTTGGGATCAGCCTGCTGGGGCTGCAGGGACCCTCCCTGTGCTTTGCAGGTGTTTGTCCCAGAGATGGCAGCGCGGAGGCAACGCGTCCAACTCCTGCACCGTTCTCTCCCTGCTCGGAGCCCCCTGTGCCTTCATGGGCTCAATGGCTCCTGGCCATGTTGCTGAGTAAGTCCAGGAGGGAGAGCCCACTGGGGAAGGCCTGCCTGCATCATTGTGGGAGAAGAAGGATGTATCCACCCTGGGTGGATGGGGGATTAGAAATGGGTTGTGTCCAGCAGAAACGCGGGGAGGGGGCATGGCGGAGCACCAGACGCCCAGCCCTGCCTTGGCGTGGCCTCTCTGCGGTTCGGGGGCTGATGCTGCCCCTGTGAAGCTTTCCTTGCCACAGCTTGTTTCCTGGACACTTCTGGAGCCTGCTTCAGCCTCTTCCTTTCTCCTTCCTTGCTTCCTGCAGACTCTGCGGTGGATGTGCCTTTGCCTTATCTTAAGTCCCTTATCCTGGCCATGCTTGAGGCAGAAGGCAGTTAGGGACACGTGGTACCCATCCTCCCCCAGGTCCAGGCCCACAGTTTCTGTCCCAGTTGAGAGGCAGGGCTGGTGCTCATGTCCCTGTTGTTCACTGAAGCAGTGAGAGTACCCTGTTCAAGGACACCCTGAAGCCACATGCTAAAGCTGGGCTCAGAACCCACACCTCCCAGTTCCCCGGCTGTCAGGGCTATAGCCCTAAATGGCTCATGCACGCCCTCCATGTTGGCTGCTGCAGGGACCTCAGAGCCCTTTGACCCCTGGCGCTGCCGACTCAGCAAGCACTTATCGGGAGGTGAGGCCCACACTTTGCACACTGTGGGCACGGGGGCAGGCTGCCAGGTTGCTGGCCTGTGAAGGGCAGCCCTTTGAACCCTGGTTTGAAGGGGGCTGCTGGCAGAGTCCAACCACCTGAGCTACAGCCAAACTCCCTGCCTTGATGAACTGGCAGGAAGAGAATAGAGGGAGAGAATCTGCCCTGTGAGATGGGACAGGACGGCTCAGAACCAAGGGCTGGTGACTCATTAAACCTCTTTAATAGCTCCTTTCCTCTGAGCTAGAGGCAGGACTGTGGCTCTGGCTTAGGATGGTCGACTCTCCTTTACATAGCAATCAGGCCAATGGGTGGTTTATTCAGAATTCTCCCCATGTGCTCGACAAACATTTAGAGAGCACCTACCATGTCCCAGGCACTGGGGTGCGAAAGTTATTTGGCAAACCAAACCATATTTCCAATGCTTTGGGAAAGTTACTATTTAAAGGAGTTGTAAGTCAAGGGATGATGCCCTGACTTGGTATCTTTATGCAAATCTGTATTATCCAGCTTTGGTGTTGCTGAAAGCGGGCTCTGGCCAGGTGAGAAAAGCCAGGATGGTGGCTGGACTGCTGGGCATAATTGCCAGTTCTTGAGCACAGAACAATGCCTGTCCATAGAGGGCTGGAAGGGCTGGGGCTGACCTCCTTGTCCTTGCCCCTGGGCTCACTCTGCATGGAGGGCATTCCAGGAGAGAGTTCTGGACCAGGCCCATACTGAGTGGCATCAGGCACGGGGAGCCAGCTGATTGCCCAGGAGGGTTCACCTGGCTGCAGGAGGACAAAGCAGTGAGCTGGCTCACCAAGGCAGCACCACTTCCAGGCTGGGCCTCCTGGAGGCAGGCAGAGAGTGAGAGGAATCACAGCATTAGGACTGGGAGGGACTGAGAGAGGACAGCACCCTGGATGAGCTTGTGGAGGACAGCTGGGGGCAAAGTATTGCCTTGGAGATTAATTATTAATCCTGTTTGGGCATTGCAGGAAACAAGCCACGGTGCCCCCACATGCTTGGTTCAAACAGTGTACAGGTTCTAGGGTCCTGTCTAGCTTTATGAACAGGAGCAAATCCTTTCCAGCATGAGTTGGACTGAAAAACAGAGTCAGGATCGGAGCATGCTTCAGCCAAGACCTAAAAGGATGGCCCTTAGTGTTTCTCTCTCTGAGCTCCAGGCTCTGCACTCCTGCATCTCCTGCCCTGTTGCACTGCCTGTGGCAAGACTGTGATTCCCAGTTCTCTCCCAGCCCCCTTTGCTTGCACCCCTGCCTTTCAGGGTCCCTAGTGGCCCTGCCAGCTACCCTCCAGTCCCCAAAACCCTTGTCGAACTGCACCCCCTTCGGGTTACTCCGCCCTAGCAGTTTTGTCCTGGATGACCTCCGCCGCTATTCTGTGGACCTACGCTACACAGTCTTTCAGACCACAGGCTCCGTCCCCATCGCCACGGTCATCATCAACGAGGCCAGTGGTAGCCGCACCATCCTATACTATGACAGGTTTGTACAACTGTCTGTGCCTTGCCAGCTGCTGCCGCCGCCACCAAAACTCCCAGAACAGGACTCTTCTTCTCTTAGAGGCTCGTGTGCTCCAGCACCCTCTCCCCACTCCTTTTGGAGGTCCAGACCACTTCCAGGCTCTAATCTGTGTCTCCTTGCCCTTTTCCTGGCCCGGCCTCCACCCTAAGCTTCCTGGTGGCCGACTTCAGGCGGCGGGGCGTGGACGTGTCTCAGGTGGCCTGGCAGAGCAAGGGGGACACCCCCAGCTCCTGCTGCATCATCAACAACTCCAATGGCAACCGTACCATTGTGCTCCATGACACGTAAGGCCCCCGGGCCTCGCCCTGCTACAACCCACCAATCAGTTGGCTCAATCAGTTCCCTCACTCGCCACCATGGGCATCCCAACTGCCCCCCTCTGTGGCTTCTGTGTACCAGAAGTTGCTCCCCTGCCAAAATGTCCAGTGATTTCCTAATTGCTTTCAATTAGGGGAAAAGTGAGGTGGGAAGGGATGGGCTTTGCTGTGCCTGGTGACTTGGCCTTGGTCAACACCAAAGAAGGGCAGGCAGGCCTATATAAACTGTAATTTATTAAGTGATTCCTCCATAATTATTAAATCGTTAATCAGCAGCTTGGCTGTGGGTGCGGGGAAACTGTTCTCAGGACAGAAGGGTGGGAGATGGGATTCAACCCTTCTTAAGAAGGGCTGTGGGGGGGTGCCCACTGGGATTTCCAAAGTCAGCCCCAGAGTTGCCAGCCTGCAGCATGGCACCAAGGAGCTGGGGTTTGGGTGTGTAAAAGAGATCAGCCCCCCAAAGTTTCCAGCATGATGAAGCCAGGCCACACACCATTCACAGCCATTGCTGAAGGAGGGGAAAGGAAACATGGGGTCAGCAGATCAGGGTCATCTAACATGGTGCTGACCTGGGGGAAGGGGCTATCCCTCCCTTCAGGGTCCCAGGCCACTCAAGAGAGGCCCCATGGGCCTAGACACTTCTTATCCCTTGCAGACTCCCTCCTGCAGGATTTTAGAGGTTTAGTGTACTAAGAACCTAGTACGTGCCAGGTACTGTTATGGCTGAGAGGGCCCAAGCCCAGCAGCCCTCAGGTTCAGGCTGTTCCTACGGCCCAGCCTGACTGCCGGACCTGGAGGAGGGGCAGCCATCCCTGGGCTTCATATGTGCAGTGAGTGTGAGTAGGCAGGCATATGTGCTACAGGTGACCTTCGCATTGGGCAATCCTAGTCAAATGCTTGTTAAGCAACAATCCGTAGTAACCCTGATCAAGGACACAACATAGCTATTTACAGGAGAGGAGCTCTGAGGAGAAATGTTTCTTGCCCACTGGCCTCAGTCCAGGCACATTCACACACATTACCTGCAACTGCAGCAGGCTGCAAGGGGGCTGGGGGTTTCAGCCCCATTTATCAATGTGGAAGTTGCCTCCCAAAGGCCCGGGCAGATCACACAGCTATAGTTAAGTGGAAGGACTCGGCTACAGAACGTGGAGCGGGGACTTTGGCTGAGTTGAGGTCTCTGGCTCAGGAGGGTCAAGGCAGACCTCTATCGGGAGTCCCCTTTCCTAAACCGGCCAAACACAAACTCTTCCTCAAGTGCTACCTTGACCTCAGGGTTGCAACGGGGAGCTATTAAACGCAGGACAGGGGTGCCATAGGTAAACCCCAACGCTGGGGCGCCAGAAGTGAGGGGGACCAGACAGCCCAGGCAGGGGGTCGCGGGCTTTATACTTTCCCAGGGCTCTGCCTGTGGGAGCCGTGTGCTGCTGCAAGGGATTCTGGGAAGTGTAGGCTTGGCGCTCTCAGTGCATTCTGGGAGATGCAGTCTCCAAGGCACACAGACCTTGCCAGTTGACATGTGTTGCAGTTCAGTTTACCGAGATAATTTAATCACAACCTCAAACTCAGGAAAGGGCACCCCAGCAGACTGTAACAGGGACAACCCTGGAGCTGAGCCTGAGAATCCTGTGCTGTGGATCCAGCTTCCTGTCATGCTGCCAGCAGTGCAGGCACAGGGTCCACAGCTGCCAGTTAGAGATCCTGGCTCTGCCTGACCCCATCATGCTCCTTCTTCTCTGTCTTTTCCATCCTGTGACCTAGGAGCCTGCCAGATGTGTCTGCTACAGACTTTGAGAAGGTTGATCTGACCCAGTTCAAGTGGATCCACATTGAGGTAAGCCCTGCCTTACCTGTGTTTCAAGGGGCTCAACCTGCCAGCCTCCTCCACATGTTCTGCCTCCTTGGTTTCTTTGAATCATGAAGTACCTTAGAGATAAATGAACCCAACCCCCTCATTCTCTCTCCATCTTTCCTTATGTCTTCAGGTGAGAAAACTAAGGCCCAGAAAGATTAGATGACTTACTCAAGGTCACACAGCAGAACGTAAGCACAGCTGGCTCCAGGCAAAGTCCTGTGCTTTCTGTGCTACGGGCTGCCCCATTGCCTCCAACTCTGCCTCTGGCGGATGTCTGACTGCTTAGGGCCTGACCCATTACCTCTGGGGAAGCAGGAAGGACAGGGCCTGACTCAGCTCCCAAATAAAGGGAACTAGAGCCTTTACTCCAAGAGAGGTTTTGGAGTCTGGGTGGAAGGAAATCCTGAGAAGTCCTGAGTTCTAGCTCCATCATTTAACCTATGGTAGGTCTTTCACAGTATCTTTTATTCTTTAGTCTTCTCATCTGTGGAATGGAGTAGCTGGTTGATAAGGTCTTCAAAGTCCACGACAGCTCTGAATGTTGTAATTTAGGATGGGGTTCTAGCCCAGCCTCCCCGAGGCCCTCTCCCTCCTCACCCAGAGTTTCAGCGGGGCAGGAAGAATGAGGCAGATTGGCCAGGCAGTGCCCAGCGGTCCTGAGCTGCCCTGTCCTGTACCAGGGCCGGAACGCATCGGAGCAGGTGAAGATGCTGCAGCGGATAGACGCACACAACACCAGGCAGCCTCCAGAGCAGAAGATCCGGGTGTCCGTGGAGGTGGAGAAGCCACGAGAGGAGCTCTTCCAGCTGTTTGGCTACGGAGACGTGGTGGGTGCCCCATTCAGCCTCTCTTTGCCACTTCCAGCTAATTTGGTTCTTAAAGGGAGCCAGAATCCTTTTATCCTGCCTACCACAATTGGAATAGTGGTTCCTGGTTTGGTGGTGTTTGAAGATGGGGGATGGGGGTTAAAGCAAAGAAGTAGACCCCTAGCCTTGGGCTCCAGTGCAGGCCTCAGCAGTGAGCAAGGAGTAGAATGTCTCCACCCCAGGTGGGTGCATAGGTGTAAGAATGCCCAGAGGGCTTGGGTAGGGCTTAAACAGCCACAGGGCAAGCCTGTGTGGAAGCATCTCCTCTCTGGGGCTCCCCAGTCTTTTCCTCTGCAGAATGAGGGCACACAACTGTTCTCTGAGGTTTCTTCCAACTCAGGGGTGTCTGGCAGGTTGTGGGGGCTGCTAGGGTGAGGGAAGGGTGGGAAGGAGACTTGCATGAGTCTCTTTTTGAAAAGGCTGGATGTAAATGGAATTTGGGAAGTAATCCCAGCATCATAGCAGAAGTTGGTTGGAGACCATCCAGCCAAGGTCCTCAACCTTGTGACTTGTCCTCAACCTTGGCTGCATATTAAAAAAGATGAATGCAGGCCAAGTGTAGTGGCTCACACTTGTAATCCCAGAGCTTTGGGAAGCTGAGGTAGGAGGATTGCTTGATGCCAGGAGTCCAAGACCAGCCTGGACAACATAGCAAGACCCCTGTCTCTATGAAAATAAATTAGGCCAAGAGCAGTGACTCATACCTGTAATCCCAGCACCTTGGGAGGCCAATGCAGGAGGATCACTTCAGCCAGTCATTCAAGATTGCAAGACCCTGTCTCTATACAAAAAAAAAAAAAAAAAATTCCTGGCATGGTGGTGTGCACCCATAGTCCCAGCTACTCAGGAGGCTGAGGCAGGAGGATTGCAGTGCCTGAGCCCCACCATCTTGTTTTTGATTGGCAGGGGTAGAGCCAAGGCTTCGGTGTTTTGTTTTTTGTTTTTACCAAAACTTTCTCTGGAGATTCTAAAGTGTAGGTAGTGTTGAGGGAGCCTCTTTGTTTTCCAGATGAAGAAACCATACCTAGAGGACATAGTTGTGGGAAAAACCAGCAAAACTGCTCCAGGGAGCCAGCATGGCGGTGGTAGATTCCACCCCAAGGTGGCGCTCAAGGCTTTCTGTGGGTTTTCAATCCATTGATCAGAGAACAAACGGACCAGGCCTTTTGTTTTACAATTTACAAGGCTGTATTCTATTATATATAAGCATCGATAAAAATATGCTTCTGGCCAGGTGCAGTGACTCACACCTGTAATCCCAGAAATTTTGGGAGGCTGAGGCAGGAAGATCATATGGGGCCAGGAGTTCAAGACCAGCCTCAGGGAGACCATCTTCACAAAAAATAAAGAAAAAAGAAAACCACGTTCCCGTGGGACAGTGAGATGCTACGTTGGGGATCTATGTGGACATGTTGGGGGAGTCGTGTTGTAATGGGGGCAACGCTAGGCTGCTGTTGGTGAATGACGAGTTAGAAGTGACCACCAGCTTCTCTTCCACTGCCCACAGGTGTTTGTCAGCAAAGATGTGGCCAAGCACTTGGGGTTCCAGTCAGCAGAGGAAGCCTTGAGGGGCTTGTATGGTCGTGTGAGGAAAGGGTGAGCCGGGGAAGCCAGGAAGGGGCTTTAGAAGGTACAGGATGAGCCTGGACTCCAGGAGTCCGCCCTGGAGCTGGGAGGATGGCTGGGGGGACGGGGTGGGCTAACACCCAGCTGAGTGGAGCCGTCTTGCAGGGCTGTGCTTGTCTGTGCCTGGGCTGAGGAGGGCGCCGACGCCCTGGGCCCTGATGGCAAATTGCTCCACTCGGATGCTTTCCCGCCACCCCGCGTGGTGGATACACTGGGAGCTGGAGACACCTTCAATGCCTCCGTCATCTTCAGCCTCTCCCAGGGTGAGTATGGCAGCAGGAGGGGAAAAGGACTGGGACCTGTCCCTGCCCCAAACACCTGGCTGACCTAGCTACTTGCCCCTCCTCCAGGGAGGAGCGTGCAGGAAGCACTGAGATTCGGGTGCCAGGTGGCCGGCAAGAAGTGTGGCCTGCAGGGCTTTGATGGCATCGTGTGAGAGCAGGTGCCGGCTCCTCACACACCATGGAGACTACCATTGCGGCTGCATCGCCTTCTCCCCTCCATCCAGCCTGGCGTCCAGGTTGCCCTGTTCAGGGGACAGATGCAAGCTGTGGGGAGGACTCTGCCTGTGTCCTGTGTTCCCCACAGGGAGAGGCTCTGGGGGGATGGCTGGGGGATGCAGAGCCTCAGAGCAAATAAATCTTCCTCAGAGCCAGCTTCTCCTCTCAATGTCTGAACTGCTCTGGCTGGGCATTCCTGAGGCTCTGACTCTTCGATC
Organism: Homo sapiens; assembly: GCF_000001405.40. Lineage (NCBI taxonomy): Eukaryota > Metazoa > Chordata > Mammalia > Primates > Hominidae > Homo > Homo sapiens. Next base: position 27,100,033 of record NC_000002.12, read on the forward strand.
CTCCCTCTTTGTGTCCATTCCCCAAATTAACCTCTCCGCCCAGGCCCAGAGGAGGGGCTGCCTGGGCTAGAGCAGCGAGAAGTGCCCTGGGCTTGCCACCAGCTCTGCCCTGGCTGGGGAGGACACTCGGTGCCCCACACCCAGTGAACCTGCCAAAGAAACCGTGAGAGCTCTTCGGGGCCCTGCGTTGTGCAGACTCTATTCCCACAGCTCAGAAGCTGGGAGTCCACACCGCTGAGCTGAACTGACAGGCCAGTGGGGGGCAGGGGTGCGCCTCCTCTGCCCTGCCCACCAGCCTGTGATTTGATGGGGTCTTCATTGTCCAGAAATACCTCCTCCCGCTGACTGCCCCAGAGCCTGAAAGTCTCACCCTTGGAGCCCACCTTGGAATTAAGGGCGTGCCTCAGCCACAAATGTGACCCAGGATACAGAGTGTTGCTGTCCTCAGGGAGGTCCGATCTGGAACACATATTGGAATTGGGGCCAACTCCAATATAGGGTGGGTAAGGCCTTATAATGTAAAGAGCATATAATGTAAAGGGCTTTAGAGTGAGACAGACCTGGATTAAAATCTGCCATTTAATTAGCTGCATATCACCTTAGGGTACAGCACTTAACGCAATCTGCCTCAATTTCTTCATCTGTCAAATGGAACCAATTCTGCTTGGCTACAGAATTATTGTGAGGATAAAATCATATATAAAATGCCCAGCATGATGCCTGATGTGTACAAGGCTCTCAAAAAGTTCTAGTGATGATTAATATTACTGGGGATGGGGTCACCTGCCCTGAGCTGCAGGAGAGCATGGGGTGTCTGAACACCAGGTGAGGGGGAACCGGTGAGGGTTTGGGGCCCAGGGATAGACTGAGCTTTCCTCACTGGGTCCTCTGCAGCCGGCCATGGCTAGCACCATGCGCTCTGCTGCCGGAGCACCGTGAGGCCCAGAAACACTGGGCAGGCGGCATCCCTGTCCTTTCGGTCCCCAACCCCGTTCCTCTGAGAGGGTCTGGGCAGGCTGGACGGGTAGAGAGGTGGCCGGGGGGATGAATTCATTCAGTTCTTTATTGGTAATCTGCCCCTTAACTTAGGGTCTCCCTGAGCTGCACAGAAAGACCTGATACCTACTGGGACCAGGCAGGGGGCACAGAGATGGTCCTTGTCCCAGCGTACATTTCCCCTGCCCACTTCAGGGCTTATGTTCTGGCACTGAGACTTCGTGGGGTACCTGTATCTTCAAGATCTAGATCTCATCATTCTCCACTTGAACAATGTGCACCTCAAAGTCATTTTGGGTGTTCTTAGACTCCAGTGTTTCCCCTGGAAGTTCCTTGGCCTCCTCTCCATTCTCCCTGGCCTCTGCCTGGCCCCCAGCTTCCCCTCTGGGCCCGGGGGCATCTCCTTCAGCCTCTGCCTGGCCCCCAGCTTCCCCTCTGGGCCCGGGGGCATCTCCTTCAGCCTCTGCCTGGCCCCCAGCTTCCCCTCTGGGCCCAGGGGCATCTCCTTTAGCCTCTGCCTGGCCCTCAGCTTCCCCTCTGGGCCCTGGAACATCTCCATCAGCCTCTGCCTGGCCCCCAGGCTCCTGGACAGGATCCAAAGACTCCCTTCTGGCCTCTACCTGGCCCTTTGCTTCTTCTCTGGGACCAGGGGCTTCCTGTGTTTCTTGTCTTAATGGGCTTTTAGCTAATAGGGACTGCCTTCCAACAGCTTGTGGCTCCTGAGGAGATGGAGCAAGGGGCTCTCCGGGCTCCACGTGCCTGAGGGCTACTCCCGGGAAGTTGATGAGCTCAGCAGGGGTCATGAGCCCATCCCCATTCAGGTCCTGGGTCTCGAGCACTTTGTCCACTATCAAGATCACCTGTGGAAGCAGAGTCACTGTGGGGTCTCCAGGGACAGAGATGTTCCCAGGAGTTCTGACCCTCCCTAACACACCCTTGCATCCCTGCCGTGCAAGCTCTGAGCCCTCCTTTTACAGAGGACTCACCAAAAGAGTTATGATGAGAAAGACCAAAGCCCCAAAGTGCTGGGTCTCCTTTATGCGGGGATCTCCATCCAGCAGAGCTTACCGGGTTGGTGGTAGGAGAGTTGGCAGCTCCAGGGGCCAGAGCAGCTGTCAACATGGACAGCAGCTCCAGGCCATCCAGCTGTCCACTCTGGTCATAGTCATGGAGGGCAAAGAGGTAGAGGAGAACTAAAGAGAAGAGAAGCTGGATTAGAAGAGGTGCCGGGGGAGGTGGAGAAGGCAGGAGTCAATGGGGCAGCCGAGGTCAGTCCCAGATCTGGCTGCCCAGAGCCTCCCGTCCCTGGCCCCATCAGCCCAGCCCCTCACCCTGCTCCCGGCTCAGATGCTCCAGTTGCACTTCTGTCCTTCCTAGTCCCTTTAGGTAGCTCTGCAGAAGTCTGTCAGAAAAGTGGAGAATCAGCCCGGGAGAGGTGAGTCTGCAGCCCTGGGCCTGGTCTTCTCCCTGAAAGCACCCCCGGCCCACCCTACTCACCCGAGCTGCTCCTGGCCTGGCTGGAAGGGGTTGGGCAGGAGCTGATGCTGCACTTCAGAGTCTGGCCTGGAGGAGGAAGGGGAGGACCAGCCTTGCAGAGAGCCTCCCTCAGGGCCCAGCCTGCCAACCTTCTGCCTCCAATCTCCTGGCAGTTTTCTCCCCAGACCCAAAGGGAGTTGCCCCCAAAATTCCAAAAACCCTGTAGTGGGGAGGCTCTTCTGGTCTCCTTGGAACCAAATCCTTAACTCCCTCAGACTCTGTTTTTGCAGCTGGCTACCTTAGACTTTAAATGAAAACCCAAATAAAACAACTGGTTAGGTAGAGGCCAGATGAGGCCACACCTAGTAGACACAAGTTAGAGATCCAAGAAAACAGCCCAGTGAGTGGCAGGACAACATGGGTCACAGACCCCTCTCCTTCCATGCTGGGAGCCAAGGGACAGGTCTCTGGCTGAGCCTGGTGGCACTGCCCAGTTTTATATAGACCCAGTTTGCTCCATGACATAAAATTGACCTATACTTTTTCCAGGACAGGGTGTATCTGTTGGTTCTGGGGTTTCAAGCTGCTCAGGATCTCGTTGTCAGTCTTTCAAGCTCCAAATGTGCTCCCACTTCTGGACTGGGTTAACTGTTTGCCCAAGTCAATCCAGACCTGTGATGCCAGAGAGCTGGCAGGAGTTGCAGCGACTTTTGTCACAGCTACCAGCCCCTGTGGCTGTTCCTGTGGCTGTTTCCCCTTCTACCCAGCATACCCATTGCACAGTATTTATAAATAAAACCTTCAGAAAGGTATTCAGATAACATAGAAATGACATGCTAATGATCTCTACTTCTTTGGTGTTGCCACCATAAGGTCTTTTTTTTTCTGAGATAGAGTCTCGCTCTGTCACCCAGGCTGAGTGCAGTGGCTTGATCTCGGCTCACTGCAACTTCCACCTCCCGGGTTCAAGCGATTCTCTTGCCTCAGCCTCCTGAGTAGCTGGGATTACAGGCATGCACCACCATGCCCGGCTAATTGTTTTTTATTTCTGTAGAGATGGGGTTTCACCATGTTGGCCAGGCTGGTCTCGAACTCCTGACCTCAGGTGATCTGTCCGCCTCGGCCTCCCAAAGTGCTGGGATTACAGGTGTGAGCCACCACACCCAGCCCACCTCAAGGTCTTGATAACAAAACTGCAGGCCAGGCACGGTGGCTCATGCCTGTAATCCCAGCACTTTGAGAGGCCGATGTGGGCGGATCACAAGGTCAAGAGTTCGAGACCAGCCTGGCCAACATGGTGAAACCCCACCTCTACTAAAAATACAAAAATTAGCCCAGCATGGTGGCGGGCGCCTGTAGTCCCAGCTACTCGGGAGGCTGAGGCAGAAGAATTGCTTGAACCCGGGAGGCGGAGCTCGCAGTGAGCTGAGATCATGCCACTGCACTCCAGCCTGGGCGACAGAGTAAGACTCTGTCTCAAGAACAAACAAACAAACAAACAATTGCAGCCCCCACTTCTCTGGCGCCACAGCTTCTTCCCTGTTCTTCACGATGCACTGGAGCTGAGTTCTCTGATTCCAAATGGGTCCAGCAAGCATGTACTGAATGCCCACTTTGTGGCACTCTGACAGGCACAAGATGGGAGGCTGATGGCAGGGAGATACAGAGATCGGGGAACCTACACCCCAGTCTCCTGCCTCCCAGAGGGCCCACCACACCCTTGGATTCTCTAGAGACTTTCCCTCCTCCCAGCCCTTGGCCCTGCCCTCATAACCCTGTTACCTTGTGACTCCATCCTTTGGGGCAGCCTGACCCGTGGGGAGCAGCAGCAGGATTAACACTGTCATCGTCAAAGGTAACATCCTTCCTGGAACTGGAACAAGGAAGAGAATCAGGGGTCGGGGGAAAGAGGCGTCTGCCACCGTGTCACAGATGGGCTGGGTTAGACACAAGCGCATTTTCTGCCTGCTTCTACCTGCAGCCCCAAAGACAGGACTCCTGCTCAGGGAGGACTCACAGACAGACAGCAGGGATCCCATGGAACTATGCTCAAAATAAATGTCACTCCAGCTCTTGTATATAAAGCACATAAAGGCAGGCCTGCTGTGGCGGAAGCAGAGCTGGGGGCGCATCCCCACCCCACGCCCCATTCCCTTGCTCCCCACTAGGTGCCAAGGTGCCCAGAGAAGTACAGCGCAAGCATATCTGACCTCCTTCAGCCCATTCATCTTACAGATGGAAAGGAGCGCAGAAAGTTTAAGAAAAAGGCCAGGTAAGAAACGCAGGGAGTCACAAAAAGACCAAGACTTAAACACAGGCAAAAAGAGAAATGGACTGTTTGTGTTTATTAAAAACCCACTGAAGAACAAATCAAAAGAGGCGCAGACTTCTTGAAATAGGTCTAAACTCAAGTACAAACTGCAAACACAATAAATCAGGGTCAGACCAACAGTGGCCCCAGGAATTGCTATTTGCTAAATGCAGTTAGGAAAATTAGACCCACTATAAAGGAAAAAACAAAAACTTCCCCTAAGACTGACATGGCTTAGGCCCATTGGCAAAATCAACCACTTGAGTATATGAAAACAGTCAAGGATAGAATGGACCAATCAAACAGAGCCTAAAGCTTTCTGGTGAGTCCCAGGGTATGTACAGGTAGTGTGAGTTCCTGAGGAAGCAGAAGCCCACCAAAGCCAAGGCATGAGACCCCAAGCCCATCTCTAGAAAGAAAAACCGTCAGATGCTTGATGGTCTAGCAGAGATCAGGAACATCCCCATCTGGCTGACACTGGGTTTTCCTAGAGGAAGGTTCATAGCTTTCAGCAGATTCTCCAAGCAACCCATGACCCTAATAAGGTTCAGAACCACTGCCAGGATGGACTTCCATTTCCTAAGAGATGAGGGGTAGAGCAGGTAAGCACCTGGCTAATGGGAAGATAAACAAAATTCTGCCTTTTAAAGCTACCTTAAGGGAAAACTAGCTAAACATGGAAGTCCACAAGAAGATGAAGCTACCTAGAGTCACAGAACCTGTCATTTTTCTTTTTTTTCTTTTTTTTTGAGAAGGAGTCCTGCTCTGTCACCCAAGCTGGAGTGCAGTGGCATGATCTCAGCTCACTGCAACCTCCACCTCCCTGGTTCAAGTGATTCTCCTGCCTCAGCCTCCCGAGTAGCTGGGATTACAGGCAACTGCCGCCACACCTGGCTAATTTTTGTATTTTTAGTAGAGACGGGGTTTCACCATGTTGGTCAGGCTGGTCTTGAACACCTGACCTCAGGTGATCTGCCCGCCTGGGCCTCCCAAAGTGCTGGGATTACAGGCGTGAGGCACTGCACTTGGCCCGTCTTCATTTTTCTATGCATACAACTGGCCCAACAGATAAAGTGAGTATACATAATTTGTTGGTGTCTATAAGCCCCAGTAGCCAAAAATAGATGCTGAAGCCACAGCTGCCCTAAAGGTATTCACCAACATCAGCTGGCAACATAAATCCTAGGGTTTTAGTCGTTGCACCTGGAAGAGAAGACAAGGTCCTGGGCCCGTTCAAGGTAGGCCATTGGAACTGAGATCTCTGTATCAACATGAAACCGTCAAAGGGTCACAGCCCAGAAAAAGGATGGACTAGAAAAACATTCAGACTTCCACTTCTGGGAGTGTAATAGTAAATGTCCCAATGAAAGTAACCACAAAGCTGGATAAAAATAGAAAGTATCTTTTCAAAAGCACTGGGTTGGCAAGAAATCCTCAACAGTACAAATGTGCAGTGAAAACAGTAATCTGGGGGAAAGTGAGCTTGACATTAGCTTTTGCCTTAGGAGTATCTGCCAAACCAAACCCAGGTGAACTTGAGCTGCCTGTCAGTGTGCTTGTGCTGTAAAGGAGACCAGAGATGATACCTGGGCCCACCTGATATGAAGAGACTAACAGGAGATTCCCTACGTAAAGCTGGGATTCCAAACAGCTACACTCTGAACATGAACAAAAAGTAAATTTGTCATGAAGAAGGGCAGCAAAGAATTTTGCCTTTCTTGATTTTGGTGCTGTGTAGAAGGGAGAAAAAAAACTCTCCCTGAGACTCTATAACAAGCCTGATCTAATGTGGATTTTTTGTTTTTGTTTTTTCTGGGATGGAGTCTCTCTCACTCTGTCGCCCAGGCTGGAGTTGCTGTGGCATGATATCAGCTCACTGCAACCTCCACCTCCCGGGCTCAAGCGATTCTCCTGCCTCAGCCTCCTGAGTATCTGGGACTACAGGCATGTGCCACCATGCCCAGCTAATTTTTTGTATTTTTACTAGAGACAGAGTTTCGCTGTGTTGGCCAAGCTGGTCTCGAACTCCTGATCTCAGGTGATCCTCCCGCCTCAGCCTCCCAAACTGCTGGGATTACAGGCATGAACCACTGCGCCTGCCCTCTAATGTGGGTTTGAAGCCTGAATTATTAATGCTACCTGTATGGTCAGAACATCTAAAGTAGGTAATGTATTTTGAAGTGCAACCTGGTTGATGGCACCCCCAGATGACTGGCAGAGGAAAACACACATCTCTGGAGCAACTCTAATCCAGGCCTCAAAGAATTTCCATAGGTAAAGTTTCCAGGAATATGAACTCATAGCCAAAACGTTATAAACATACAAAGAAATAAGACACTGAGTAAGAGCCAGCAAAACAATAGCAGGGAAAAGTAGACTTGGAAAAGCTGTGTTGGAATTGTTACACACAGAATATACAGCAGATACAGTTCACATTTTTTTTGTTTTGTTTTGTTTGAGAGAGGGTCTCGCTCTGTTGCCCAGGCTGGAGTGCCGTGGTGCAATCTCAGCTCACTGCAATCTCTGCCTCCCGAGTTCCAGCAATTCCCCTGCCTCACCCTCCTAAGTAGCTGGGATTACAGGCATGTGCCACCACGCCCTGCTAATTTTTGTATTTTTAGTAGAGATGGGGTTTCACCATGTTGATCAGGCTGGTCTCAAACTCCTGACCTCATGATCTGCCCACCTTGGCCTCCCAAAGTGCTGGGATTACAGGCATGAGTCACCGCACCCGGCCAGTTCACATGTTTTAAGAAATTAAAGGGAAGCTTGAAACTATGAGGAAGAAATAAGAGTTTTCCGGCCAGCAACAGTATGTTTTAAAAAAAAAAAAAAGAGGCCGGGTGTGGTGGCTCATGCCTGTAGTCCCCGCACTTTAGGAGGCTGAGGCTGGTGGATCACGAGGTCAGGTGATTGAGACCATCCTGGCCAACATGGTGAAACCCCGTCTCTACTAAAAATACAAAAAATTAGCCAGGCGTGGTGGTGGGCACCTGTAATCCCAGCTACTCGGGAGGCTGAGGCAGAAGAATCACTTGAACCTGGGAGGCAGAGGTTGCAGTGAGCTGAGATCATGCCACTGCACTCCAGCCTGGGCCACAGAGCGAGACTCTGTCTCAAAAAAAAAAAAAAAAAGAAAGAAAGAAAGAAATAAGAGCATAAAAATGACCAAGTAGATTTGAAGAGGAAACAAACATAACTTTTAGAAATAAAAGATTGATTTTAAAAATGCAATGGGTGACCAGCCTGGCCAACATGGTGAAACCCCGTCTCTACTAAAAATACACAAGTTAGCTGGGCTTGGTGGCACACGCCTGTAATCCCAGCTACTCGGGAGGCTGAGGCAGGAGAATCGCTTGAACCCAGGAGGCGGAGGTTGCAGTGAGCCAAGATCACCCCACTGCGCTCCAGCCTGAGCGACAGAGTGAGACTGTCTTAAAAAAATAAATAAAATAAAAAATAAAAATAAAAATGCAACGGGTGAGTTAAATTGATTAGACACAACTGATATGAGAGTTAATGAACTGGAAAATAGATCTGAATAAATTATCCAGAGTGCAGTTCATTGAGTCAAAGACATAGAAAATATAAAACAGAGGTTAAGTGGCAAGGTGGATGGAGAAGATAAGAGATACAACTGGAAAAAAGCAGTATTTGAAGAAATAATAGCTGACATTTTTCCAGTAGGTTGCAAAACACTGGAATATGCCAATCCAGGAAGCCCAACAATTCAATGCAGATTAAATAAACAGAAATTCTCACCTAGACCTATTTTTCTAAAATAGAACACTCAAGAAAAAAAAAATTGTAAAAGCAGTCAGAAAGAAAAGACAAATCATCTCATAGGAAAAGTAATTAGACTGATAGCTGATTTCTTGACATCAATGATGCCCAAATACAGTAATATAGTATTTTAATGTGTTCAGAGAGGGGAGAAAATTGATATTCTAGAATTCTATTCTCAGCAAAATTATCTTGCAGAATGAGGTGAAGCAAATTTATTTATTTATTTATTTAGAGACAGGGTCTCACTCTGTTGCCCAGGCTGGAACTCCTGGCATGATCATAGCAATTCTCCCACTCCTGCCTCACAAGTAGCTGGGACGACATGAATGTGCCACCATGCCCAGCTTTTTTTTTTTGGTAGAGACAGGGTCTCAACTTTGTTGCCCAGGCTGGTCTTGGGTGCAAGCAATCCTCCTACCTTGTAAAAACAATTTTAGGCAAATAACTTAGAGAATTTGCCACTAACATTCCTTCATTAAAGGAAATTCAGCTGGATATGAGTTCGTGCCTGTAATCCCAGCACTTTGGGAAGCTGAGGTGGAAGGATCTCCTGAGCCCAGGAGTTCAAGACCAGCCTGGGCAATATAGTGAGACTCCATTTCTACAAAAAATAGGAAAAAATTAGCCGGGCATGGTGGGGTGTGCCTGTAGTCCCAGCTACTCAGGAAGCTGAGGTGGTAGGATCGCTTGAGCCCAAGAGGTGAAGGAGGCAGTGAGCTCTGATCACACCACTGTAATCTAGCCTGGGCAACAGAGCAAGACCCTGTCTTAAAAAAAAAAAAAAAGGGTTTGAAATGCAAGAAAACATGTGGAGCAAAGAAATCACAAAGTATGTGGCTAAATCTAAACAGACATAGACTGTTAAACAATGCTAATTATGTTAATATATGAGGCAAAAAAGCTGGTCTGAACTACAATATTGGACAATGACATGTAAAGCAAAGATGGCTGTTTGGGAAGAGAGTGGACATATTGATGAACTTTGTTAAATATGCATGTTAAGGCTGGGCGCGGTGGCTCACGCCTGTAATCCCAGCACTCTGGGAGGCCGAGGTGGGCGGATCACCTGAGGTTGGGAGTTCAAGATCTGCCTGACCAACATGGAGAAACCCTGTCTCTACTAAAAATACAAAATTAGCTGGGCAAGGTGGTGCATGCCTGTAATCCCAGCTACTTGGGTGGCTGAGGCAGGATAATCGCTTGAACCTGGGAGGCGGAGGTTGTGGTGAGCCGAGATCACACCATTGCACTCCAGCCTGGGCAACAAGAGGAAGACTCCGTCTCAAAAAAAAAAAAAAAAAAAAAAAAAAGCATGTTAAAATTTTAAGGATAACCATTAAAAAATTAGAACTGGAATGTATAGCCTCAAACCAGTAGAAAAAAATTAATGGAATTTTAAAAACTGAACTAAAAGAAAGGCAGAAAAAGAAGAAATAAAAGCAGGAAAAGATGAAAAAGAAGAAATAAAAAGTAAAGGCTGGGTGTGTGGCTAATGCCTGTAATTCCAGCACTTTGGGAGGCCGAGGTGGGAGGATCACTTGAGCCCAGGAGTTTGAGACCAGCCTGGGCAACATAGTCTCTGTTTGAGCCCAGGAGTTTGAGACCAGCCTGGGCAACACCCTGTCTCTACAGAAAATAATTTTTAAAAAAATTAGCTGGGTGTGGTGACATACATCTGTAGATCCAGCTACTAGGGAGGCTGAGGTGGGAAGAACATTTGAACGTGGGACATTGAGGCAGTAGTAAGCTGCAATTATACCACTACACTCCAGCCTCGGTGACAGTCAGACTATCTCCAAAAAAATACACACACACACACACACAAACCCAAAAATAACAAAAACAGCACTAATAAAAGAGACTACACTTAAAGAAATTAAAATAAATGAAATAATAGCAGAAATTAAAAACACAATAAAGAGAAGCAACAGAGCCAAACAAGGGTGGTTTCTTTAAAAAGACTAGTAAAATAAAAAATATATATATACAAAGAAACAAAAGCCTAGTAAAACAGACAAACCTTTGGCAATTTCAATTAGGAACAAAGAGAGCCAGGTGTTGTGGTTCACACCTGTAATCCCAGTGTGTCCGGAATTGGTGGGTTCTTGGTCTCACTGACTTCAAGAATGAAGCCGCGGACCCTCGCGGTTGAGTGTTACAGTTCCTAAAGGCGGCGTGTCTGGAGTTTGTTCCTTCTGATGTTCGGATGCGTTCGAAGTTTCTTCCTTCTGGTGGGTTTGTGGTCTCGCTGGCTCAGGAATGCAGCTGCGGACCTTCGCAGTGAGTGTTACAGCTCTTAAGGTAGTGCGTCTGGAGTTGTTCGTTTCTCCCAGTGGGTTCGTGATCTCGCTGGCTTCAGGAGTAAAGCTGTAGACCTTCGTGGTGAGTGTTACAGCTCATAAAGGCAGTGTGAACCCAAAGAGTGAGCAGCAGCAAGATTTATTGCAAAGAGCGAAAGAACAAAGCTTCCACACTATGGAAAACGACCTGAACAGATTGCCACTACTGGCTCTGGCAGCCTGCTTTTATTCTCTTATCCGGCCCCCACCCACATCCTGCTGATTGGTCCATTTTACAGAGAGCGGAGTGGTCTGTTTTGACAGGGTGCTGATTGGTGCGTTTACAATCCCTGAGCTAGACACAAAGGTTCTCCACGTCCCCACTAGGTTAGCTAGATACAGAGTGTCAATTGGTGCATTCCCAAACCCAGAGCTAGACACAGGGTGCTGATTGGTGTGTTTACAAACCTTGAGCTAGATACAGAGTGCCAACTGGCGTATTTACAATCCCTTAGCTAGACATAAAGGTTCTCCAAGTCCCCACCAGACTCAAGAGCTCAGCTGGCTTCACCCAGTGGATCCTGCACCGGGGCCGCAGGTGGAGCTGCCTGTCAGTCCCACACCCTGCGCCCGCACTCCTCAGCCCTTGGGTGGTCGATGGGACAGGGCGCCGTGGAGCAGGGGGTGGCGCTCGTTGGGAGGCTTGGGCCGTGCAGGAGCCCACGGCAGTGGGGAGGCTCAGGCATGGCGGGCTGCAGGTCTCGAGCCCTGCCCCGCGGGGAGGCAGCTGAGGCCCGGCGAGAAGTAGAGCACAGCAGCTGCTGGCCCAGGTGCTAAGCCCCTCACTGCCCGGGGCCGGCGGGGCCGGCCGGCAGCTCCGAGTGCTGGGCCCCCGAGCCCACGCCCACCCGGAACTCGCGCTGGCCGGCAAGCGCCGCGCGCAGCCCCGGTTCGCGCTCGCGCCTCTCCCTACACACCTCCCTGCAAGCTGAAGGAGCCGGCTCCGGCCTTGGCCAGTACAGAAAGGGGCTCCCACAGTGCAACGGTGGGCTGAAGGGCTCCTCAAGCGCGGCCAGAGTGGGCGCCAAGGCCGAGGAGGCGCCGAGAACGAGCGAGGGCACACACTGTCACCTCTCACCAGCACTTTGGGAGGCTGAGGCAGAAGGATTGCTTGAGCCCAGAAGTTGGAGGCCAGCTTGGGCAACATAGTGAGACCCCCATCTCTACAAAAAATTAATTTTAAAAAATTAGCTGGGTGTGGTGGTGCACGCCTGTAGTCCTAGCTACTTGGGAAGCTGAGGTGAAGGATGACTTGAGCCCAGGAGGTTGAGACTGCAGTGAGCTGTGATTGTGCTGCTGTACTCCAGCCTGGGTGACAGAGTGAGACCCCATTTCAGAAAAAAATAAACCAAAGACTAAAAGAACAAATAGAAAAGGCACAAACAATATTAAGAAGGAAAATAGGGACATAACTAAAGAAACAGCAGAGATTTGAAAACTTAGAGGATATGGCCAATTTCCTAGAAAAACTTAATAGCAAAACTGATGCAAAAAGAAATAAGCTTTGATAGTCTTACAATCACTAAGGAAACTGAATCAGTGAGTATTAACCTTTACTGCTTCTGGAACTATAAACCTGAAATGTTTTTAGAGAGCAGTCTGGAAATGTGTATTAATTTCCTAAAACTCTGACCCAACAATATCGTCTTGGGGATTACATAAAAGAATATAAATGGAAAAGAAATTACAAAGATATGTATAGCTGTGCTATTAATATTAGTCAAACAAATGTAAGCAACCTGAATGTCTAACATTTAGGCAATGGCTGAACAAACCATATTATGTGATAGAACCATTAAATATAATACATCAACTCAGAAAGTTTAAAAGGAAAAAATGAGCAGATTTGAGTATATCAAAAGTTTAAACTTCTGTGTCATGAAATATACCACAAATCACGTTCGAGGAGACAAGTGACAGAGAACTGAAGGAATTGCCGCTAGTGTGTGGAGGCTTCCCGGGTCCCCAGAAGGGTGGGGTTCCACCACCTGGGCCTCAGCAGGAAGTAGAAGACAGAAATCTCCCTAGAAACCCTATGGGTACTGAATGGGGTCCAGGAGCCGCAGAGATGAGTGCCTTGTTTCCAGGAAGGTTAGAGAGAAGGCCCTGCCTACAGGGTGCCTGGGAGGTCAGGAAGCAGCAGCTGAAGGAGGGTCTGGGTGAATGGGCAGAGAGAGGGCTGCCTCTCCCAGTTCTTTGTATCTAGAGTGCTGCTGGTTTGAAGAAGGGGGCTGAGGTCAGCTGAGGGTTCCAGTCTCTAAGGTGGAAGGAGGGGTGCCTAATGGCTGAGAGAGCCAGTTGACCAGGAGAATGCCAGAAGTTCTGGCTCCCTGGCCTGGGTGCCACAGAGAATACCATGGAAAGCACCAACAGCTGCCACATGACAAAGACCAGAGGGCAAGCATCCGTAGGGAAGGCAAGTTAGATATAAGTTTGTACAATAAGGATAAATATTCATTTCTTTAATATTTATTGAACACCTGCCATATGTGAGGCACTCTCTTATCACTAAGCTGATCTCTTAAGGTCGAATTACTTTTTCTTTTTCCCCCTAAAGCTTGCAAATATGTAAGTAGGAAAAGATACAAATGTTAACGCAAGAAAAACACAGAATTGCTATGGAATAGGTGGTACGGCCCAAAGTTGGGGGGTATGGGCCCTGACCTCAGGCTGCCTGTGTTCAAATCTGGGCTCCGCAGCCCACTAGCTGTGCGGCTTTTCTGTGCTTCAGGTTCTCCATCTGTAATGCGGGGCTGACGAGAGCACCTCTGGCAGGGCTGTGGTGAGGGTTTAATTAATGAGACAAGATGTGTAAAGTGCAGTGCCTGATCTACAATAAGGCCTTTTTCCTTCCAAGAGTTCATCTGCACGGCCCCACAGTGGCTTCACACACCCCCTTCCCACCTGGCTCCTCTCAAATTGCTTTCTCCACCCTATCTGTTTACTGCTAGGACCCAGGCCGACAGGAGGCACTGGAGTCATTTAAATCCCTCAGAGCTGTCAAAACTCATCATCCAGCCTTCACGTGTTCTTACATACTAGCAGGTGCCTTTTTTTTTTTTTTTTTTTTTTTGAGACAGAGTCTCGCTCTGTCACCAGGCTGGAGTGCAGTGGCGTGATCTCGGCTCACTGCAACCTCCGTCTCCCAGGTTCAACCAATTCTCCTGCCTCAGCCTCCCAAGTAGCTGGGACTACAGGTGCACGCCACCACACCCAGCTAATTTTTGTATTTTTAGTAGAGACGGGGTTTCACCATGTTGGCCAGGATGGTCTCGATCTCTTGACCTCGTGATCCGCCTGCCTCAGCCTCCCAAAGTGCTGGGATTATAGGTGTGAGCCACCACACCCGGCCCTCAGATGCCTTTTAAAGGAGGATGTCTGTGAACTCCAAAGGATGACTCTGGGGGGAGCCGTTCAGGCATAAAGGGGAAGCACCCCTCAGATCCACTCATCCTCTCACTCATTAGGCCACTGTGGTAGCTTTAAAAACCTGTCTACACATTCTTTGACATTCCTTCCCACAAAACTTGGAGTCTAACTCGCCTCCCCTTGTATATGATCTGGACTTAGTGACTGGCTTCTAATGAGTTGCTGAAATGGTGCTTACATGACTTCCAAGTCCAAGTAATAAAAGTGACCTAGCTTATGCCTGGTTCTGGTTCTCCCCTTCACTTGACACACAGATGTGCACCTCTGGAACCTTGAGCCACCATGGAAGGAGCCTGGTCTCCCCGAAACCACCCTACGGAAGAGAGAGTGTGGAGAACCCACCTAGAAACAGATGCCTGAGAAGCCTCCAGCTCAAATCTTCCCAGCCCAACAACCAGACAGGGGAGAGAGCCAAGCTCCGGATAATTCTAACCCCCAGCCTCTGAGCTGCCCCAGCCAACACTGAATGCAGTAGAAATGTGCTTGTCTCCACAGCCTGCACTCATGTGCAAAGTCAACATCAACGTTATCTTTTTGTGTGTGTGTGTGTGTGACAGGGTCTCACATGTTGCCCAGGCTGATTGGAAACCCCCAGGCTCAAGCAATCCTCCTGCCTCGGCTTTCCAAAGTGCTGGGATTATAGGCATGAGCTACCATGCTGGGCCCATTATCCTTTTAAGCCATTACATTTTGAGGTGGTTTGTTACACTGCCATAGTAATTGGAAAACCAACCATGTAAGGGCTGGCTTCATGGGTGTGCGTCCTGTGAAGTCACAAGTTCCCCGCTCTCAGAGGGGCCCTGTGCTTAGGCTAATGCTCTGTTGTCACTATCTTGAAACTCTCAATCATTTTTGCACCGAGCCCTGCAAATTATGCACCTGGTCCTGAGTCCTACCCCGTGAATGACTATCACTCTCCTCTTCTTGGTCCTATGTACCCCTCATATATTTAACTCTTCAGTATGTTTAATGGACAGAAAACAGAGCTTTGGAAACAGCCAGACCTACTTTTAAACCCAAGCTCCACCACTGAGTGTCCCTGTGACCTTGGGTAAATTAATTTTTCTCACTAAACTTCAGTTACCTTATCCACATACTGGAGATAATATTTACCTCACAGGGTTACAGTGAACATTAAATGAATAATGAATTACTTCTGGCACAAACTAATATACAAGCCTTTTAGTGTTATCCCTGTCTCTGGTATTTTCTCCACTTAAAGAACCCTCCACACCCACATCAGATAAATCATCCTTTGCTAGAATTCCACTGCTCTAGAACCTTCAGTGGCTCCCTATTTCGATTACAGTCCAGAATCTTCACCTGGGCATTCAAGGCCTTCTACAATCAGATATCAAGTTACTGTTGACTCATCTTCCAGTGCTGTATTATGATAGCACACTGCTTCAAACCAAGGAGTTATTGGAGTCTCCTAAAATACTTTCCACTTTCACTTTTCAGTGCTTTTGCCCAACCTGTTCCATCCTCAATCTGGAATGTCCTGGGCCCTCCTGACAACCTTAGCATTCGGTTATAGCCCACCTCAAAAATGCAAGTGATTGGGCTGAGTACAATGGCTCACGCCTGTAATCCCAGTACTTCGCAGGCCAAGGCAAAAGGATTGCTTGAAGCCAGGAGTTCGAGACCAGCCTGGGCAGCAAAATGAGACCCCCCCCATCTCTAAAAAAAACAAACAAAAATTGTTTTTAATTAGACAGCATGGTGGCTCAAATCTATGGTCCCAGCTACTTGAGAGGCTGATGCAGGAGGATCACTTCAGCCCAGGAGTTGAAGGCTGCAGTGAGCTATAATTACACCACTGCACTCCAGCCTGGATGACAGCAAGATGCCACCAAAAAAAAAAAAAAAAACAAAGGCCGGGCATGGTGGCTTACACCTGTAATCCCAGCACTTTAGGAGGCCAAGGTGGAAGGATCACCTGAGGTCAGGAGTTTGAGACCAGCCTGGCCAACATGGTGAAACCCCATCTCTACTAAAAATATAAAAATTAGCCAGGCACAGTGGCACGTGCCTGTAATCCCAGCTACTTCGGAGGCTGAGACACGAGAATTGCTTGAACCCAGGAGGCAGAGGTTGCAATGAGCCAAGATTGTGCCATTGCACTCCAGCTGGGGTCACAGAGCAAGACTGTCTCAAAAAAAGAGAGAGAAAAAAAAAAGTAAATGATGTGGACTTTCAGTATAATTTTTTTTTTTTTGAGATAGAGTCTCACTCTGCTGCCCAGGCTGGAGTGCAATGGCGCGATCTCAGCTCACCACAACCTCCACCTCCCGAGTTCAAGCGATTCTCCTGCCTCAGCCTCCCGAGTAGCTGGGATTACAGGCATGTGCCACCATGACCTGCTAATTTTGTATTTTTAGTAGAGATGGGGTTTCGGCATCTTGGCCAGGCTGGTCTTGAACTCCTGACCTCAGGTGATCTGCCCACCTTGGCCTCCCAAAGTGCTGGGATTACAGGGATGAGCCACCAGGCCAGGCCTATTCTCTCTCTCTCTCTCTCTCTCTCTCTCTCTCTCTCTCTCTCTCTCTCTCTCTTTTTTTGAGACAGAGTCTCGCTCTGTCACCCAGGCTGGAGTGCAGTGGCGCAAAATCTACTCACCATAGTCTCCACTTCCCAGGCTCAAGCGATTCTCCTGCCTCAGCCTCCCAAGTAGCTGGGATTACAGGTGTGCACCACTACACCTGGCTAATTTTTGTATTTTTAGTAGAGACGGGGTTTCACCACGTTGGACAGGCTGTTCTCGAACCCCTGATCAAGTGATCTACCCACCTTGGCCTCCCAAAGTGCTGGGATTACAGGCATGAGCCACTGCACCTGGCCAATATTCTAAGTAATGCTTCCAACTGTGACATTTTAGTGCAAGTAACCCACCTCAGTGGTTTAAGGAAAGGCTAAGACACCTCATGTAATGTGTAATGAGGTTAGTGCGATGTGTTGACACTTAGACATTTCTAAACATTAACAAAAGCTTTTGTGAGAGAAATAAAATAGTTATTGAACCACTGCCTGTCCAATAAAAATGTCCCTAACCATTTTCTATAACTATAATGTGCATGAACATAATTACCCTAATAAACACATGAAAGCCACCATAACTGTTAACAGTTGCCATGTAATTTAATAAAGTTATGTCACACACGTGCACTCACACATTCACAATGACCCTCCGGCCCCAGTGTTCTTCAAGCCTTTGCACCAGTGCATGGGAGGAGAGCACGCTCTACAGGTTAGACTTCTGATCAAATCCTGCCTCTGATACTACTCACTGTGGGACCTAGGCAGGTGTCTTAACCTCTCTGAGCCCTGGGATCTGAATTTTTTTTTTTTTTTTTTTTTGAGGCGGAGTCTCGCTCTGTCGCCCAGGCTGGAGTGCAATGGCACGATCTCGGCTCACAGCAAGCTCCGCCTCCCGGGTTCACGCCATTCTCCATTCTCCTGCCTCAGCCTCCCGAGTATCTGGGACTACAGGCGCCTGCCACCACGCCTGGCTAAATTTTTTTTGTATTTTTAGCAGAGACGGGGTTTCACCGTGTTAACCAGGATGGTATCGATTTCCTGACTTCGTGTTCCGCCCGTCTCGGCCTCCCAAAGTGCTGGGATTACAGGCGTGAGCCACTGCTCCTGGTCGGGATCTGCATTTTAAAAATGAGGATAACGGTATCTGTCTCCTAAAGGTTTGGGGAGGCTGCAATGAGAAAACTTAGGGTAGGTGCCTGGCACCAAGCAGGTGCTGCTTGGGTATTTCAGAGCCTCTGGGCTGTGGCAGGGGCCTTGCAGGGTTATCCTGGGTAACTTCCCATCCAAAGCAAAAATTTCTTCCTCAGCAACCCTGTCAAATGGCCTCTGCTTGAATCATTCCAGGACAGGAACCTAGCACCTCACAGGCCGGCAGTTCCATCTCCTGTAGAGTCGAACTGTTGGGAAGCTAAAATTTTGAGTAGAATCCTCTCCCTTAATTCTTAATTTATCCCTCTGGTGCCCTTGTGCCTCCCAGCACCCATCCCCCAAGAAAGGAGACAGCGGCTACAGGGCTAGAGGAGCCCACACCCGGGAGCTGGTCCCTCGGCCACCTGCAAGCGGACGACAGCCTCGGGCCCTCCCCAGCGCTCCATTTCTTCCCCGTCGGATGAGGGGGAAAGCTCCCGCCAGCTGCCCCTCCCCCAGGACTGCTGGAACACGGAATGCGGGGCTGGGGGAAGCGCCTGGGGAACTGCGAAGCCCCAAATTCACACCAAGGAGCCTCAGGCTCGCTCTCCAGTCCCTTCCTCCACCTGCCCTCAGGGTACACAGGGGCAAGGGCCACTGCTCCCGCCGCGTCTGAGCCGCAGGGGATGCAGAGGGACTGCGCTCTCGGGATCTGGACCAGAGGCTGGAGGCCACCTACCCCGCGCGGCCCTGGCTGGCTGACGGCGATGGGCTCGGGTCTCCGGCCGGCCGGGGCGGGGTGTCACCCACCTGCTGCGGCGCCGCGCGGCTCTGGGGGTCCAGCTCCGTGGGCGCTCCTGGCTGCTGCGCCGCCCGCGCCTCGCCTCCCGCCGCCAGCCTCCCCCGGGCCGCTCCACGTGGCCGCTCCACGTCGCCCTCCCGGCTGGAGCCGCCGCCCTGGCCGGGCAGAGTCCGGAGCCAGTGCCAGCCGCCGCCCCGCCCGCCGGACCTGGCCCTTCGCAGCTCCACCAGCGCCCCCGCTGCGCCCGCGGCCGGAGGGGCTGCGCGCGCCCGTGTGAGTGTGCGCGTGTGTGCGTGCGTGAGTGCGCATGTGCGCGTGTGCGAGTCCGCGTGTGCTCGTGAGTGCGCTCGTGTGCTTGTGCGGGTGTGCACATGCGTGTGACATTGTGAGCGTGAGTGTGAGCATGTGTAAGGATGCACGTGTGTGAGCGTGCATGTGTGCGCGGATGTGTGCGTGTGCCTGTATGCACACATGTGAGTACAGAGAGACCAAGAGACAGTGAGGCCAGTGTGCATCAGAAGTATGTTTAACTGTGCTCATGCTTTGGTTGCCACTTTCTCTGCCTGAGGGACCCAGATGTATGTGACAAAATGGAACCTAACTTACTGTTAGCATGTGCGGTTGTGACTGGCATGTGTGGCTCTGTGTATGAGGAATTTGTGACACGGTAGGGGGTATTTTGTGTGACTGTGCATCCGTGTGATAGTGTGGGCTTCAGGGGCCGGGCGTGGTGGCTCACACCTGTAATCCCACCACTTTGGGAGGCCAAGGCGGGTGGATCACGAGGTCAGGAGATGGAGACCATCCTGGTTAACACAGTGAAACCCCGTCTCTACTGAAAATACAAAAACATTAGCCGGGCATGGTGACGGGCGCCTGTAGTGTCAGCTACTCGGGAGGCTGAGGCAGGAGGATGGCATGAACCTGGGTGGTGGAGCTTGCAGTGAGCCGAGATCACGCCACTGCACTCCAGCCTGGGTGACAAAGCAAGACTGAGACTCCGTCTCAATAAATAAATAAATAAATAAAAAATAAATGATAGTGTGGGCTTCAGGGTATGGCCAATGTGTGACTGACTGCCCAGGGGTGTGGCGGTGCAGAGTGTTAGAGGCATATGTATTGGGGTGTCAGGGTGAACTCTTCCTGAGTTGTTTGTGACACTCCATCACAGCGACACTGTCATCACAGCGACAAGCCCACTCTCATCCTGTCCTCCTCCCAGTGATGAACACTGCTTGTCACTGCCTTTTTAGATCACGGATTCTGCTGGTTTCGGCAATACCTCTCCTACCTCTGGTCATTTCAAAAAGGTCTCCATTTTCTTCACCGTCAGAGTTCCTCAGGGCCCTCTCCTCACTTTCCATCTGCTCATGTGCTCATCTGCTCACCTAGCTCCCATCACTGTTATGCATTGACTCGTGTCCTTCACAAAGTTATATGTTGAAGTCTTAACCTCCAATACCTCAGACTGTGACCTTATTTGGAAATAGGGTCATTGCAGATGTAATCCATTAAGATGAGGTCATACTGGAGTAGGGTGGGCCCCTAATCAATATGACTGGTGTTCATATCAAAAGAGGAAATGTGGACACAGACACACACATAGGAAGAACATTGCTATGGCCTGAATATCCCACCAAATTCATGTGCTGAAACTTAGTCCCCATTGTGGTGATATTAAGAGGAGGAAGCCAGGCACAGTGGCTCACACCTGTAATCCCAGCACTTTGGGAGGCCGAAGTGTGAGGATCTCTTGAGGCCAGGAGTTTTCGACCAGTCTGGGCAACATAGTGAGACCGTGTCTCTACAATAAATAAATAAATAAAAATTAGGCATGGTGGTGCACGCCTGTAGTCCCAGCTATTTGGGAGGCTGAGGCAGGCAGATCCCTTGAGTCCAGGAATTTGAGGTTACAGTGAGCTGTGATCCTGCCACTGCACTCCAACCTTGGTGACAGAGCGACATCCTGCCTCTGAAAAAAACCAAAAAGGAGTAGGGCCTTTTGGGACATGATGAAACCATGAGGGCTCTCCCCTCATGAAGGGATTAATGACCTTATGAAAGAGGTTTCTGAGAGAGTTCACCCCTCTTGCTCTCTTGCCTTTCTGTCCCTTCCATCACATGAGGAAACCCAGACGCACCATCTCTGAGGAATGGACCTTCACAGACACCGAACCTGCCAGTGCCTGGATCTTGGACTTCCCAGTCTCCAGAACTGTGAGGAATAAATTTCTGTTGTTTGTAAATTACTCAGTCTGTGGGATTTTGTTATAGCAGCACAAACTCACTAAGATGTTTGTGAAGATGAAGACAGAGATCAGGGTGATGCTTCTACCAGTCAGGGAGTGCCAAAGATTTCCAGCAAAATGCCAGAAGCCAGGGGAGAGGCATGGAATAGATTATTCCTCACGGTTCCCAGAATGAACCCACCCTACTGATATTTCAGTCTTGACTTCTAGTCTCCAGAAGTGTGAGACAATAAATCTCTGTTGTTTAAGACAGTCCCCAACCTTTTTGGCACCAGGGACCAGTTTCAGAGAAGACAATCTTTTTTTTTTTTTCTTTTTTTTTTCTTTTTTTGTATTTTTTTAGTAGGGACGAGGTTTCACCATGTTGGCCAGCCTGGTCTCGAACTCCTGACCTCAGGTGATCCGCCTGCCTTGAACTCTCAAAGCATTGGGCGTTACAGGCGTGAGCCACGTGCCCAGCCTCAGAGAAGACAATCTTTCCACAGATCAGAAGGGTTGGGGGTGAGGGTGATGGTTTTGGGATGAAACTTCCACCTCAGATCAACAGGCATTAGATTCTAATAAGGAGCACGCAACCTAGATCCTTCTTGTGTGCAGTTCACATAGGGTTTGCGCTCCTATGAGAATCTAATTCCACTGCTGATCTCAGGCAGTAATGCTTGCTCATCCTGCTCACCTTCTGCTATGCCACCTGGTTCCTACCAGGTCATGGACCAGTACCAATTTGCAGCCCAGGGGGTTGGGGACCCCTGGTTTAAGACACCCAGTTTGTAGTGCTTTCTTACAGCAAACTGCCAACTAATACACCACCTAAATGCTGATGATTGCCAATTCTCCACCTCCAATCTCTAAGCCCCAGGCCACTTCAGGCATTGAATATCCTACTAATTTGTGCCTGAGTTTTAATTTATAAAGGTGGCTGAGTGAGGACATGAAGAGGTCACTGCTATTGAAAGAAAAGCTTAATGTTATTTGCAGTTCCCCTAGAAACAAAAGGCACGGTCACAGGGGGAAGTGCCAGTGTCACTCAGGAGGCAGAAAGAAGCGAAGGGAAGGTACAGGCCTTTATTGGGGTTTACTTCTCCCAGTAAGGCAGGAGAAGCAGTTTGGGACTGGCTAGTTTGAATAATTCCAGAGTGCTCTGGGGCACAGGGACAGGTCCTGGTTACCTGGTCCTGGGTTGATTTAGGGCAGGGGAGATACTGGCTTGGAATGTGAAAGTTAGAGAAAGGAAGTGCTCAGAGTGTGAGCTCTGGATTGTAGGGGAGATGTAAACAACCTTGGCCATTAGGTTGGCCCTGTGATTTATGGATGCCAAATAGACAAATACAGAACCTAAGGAAACACAGTTAAAACACCTACCAGCACCCCAACTTCTACATGTCTGTGTCTAAATGCATCATCTTCCTCTTCAAACCTTCCTCTCCTCTGTTTCCCTGTCCCAGGGATGGACACTTTATATCTGTGCAGTCAGAAACCTGGAGGTCATCCATGTTCCTCCTTCTTCCCCTGCCTCCAATCTACTACCAGGTCCTATCAATTCTGCCACTGATCTTGAAGATCTTCACTCCTCTCCTGGGTATCCTCCAGTCCGGGCATCTTTTGAGCCTGGCGTTCTGTTAGCAGCCTCCCAGTGGCCTCTCTGCTTCTACTTTCCTCCTCCTCCAATCTATTCTCCAAGCAACTGAATGATTCTCCTAAAACATAACTCATGTCACCCTTCCCTTCTTAAAACCCCTGGATGGCTTTCCTCTGACCCTAGGATAAACTGCAGCAATTATGTGGTCCTTGACCACCCACATGCTCCAGCCACACCAACTTTCTTTGTTCCCTTAAGACATCCTTCACCTCCAGGCTTTTGCCTTTGCTGCCCCCTCTGCTAGAACACCCTCGCGTGAAGTCCGGGCACCTCCGCAGTGCTCCCATGGCAGCTGGTACTTCTCTTGTGTGGACCATGTTAAGCCCTGATGACTTGTGGACCTCCTAGAAGCTTTACGGTGTATTGATACCTAGGCTCCTCTCCAGACTAACTGTATCGGGGGTAGGGCCTGGGCACTGGTAGTTTTAAAAATCCTAGATGATTCCGATCTGCAGTCAAGGTTGAAAGCCACTACTCTTAGTAGACGACCTCCTATATTTCAATGAAGACACGGACAGTAACATGGGGGGTCTGTATCAAGTGCCTGGTACAGGGCGGGTGGTGAGCAAATTATCTACTGTACGAGGACTGTGTGGCAGGGACTGTATGAGACAATGCAGAGTGACACTGCAGGAAGGTGCATGTGTTGCAATGCCACCACTGAGCAGCTGAAAGCTTTGTGACAGTGTGGGGTGTCACAGTCGGACAGTGACTGGTGAGGGTCACTGTGAATGGCTGTAGTGTGTGACAGAGCAGAATGTCACTGCAGGAGTAGCTGTGTCCTGTGCGTGACTGACTGCGAGCGCCTAAGGGACTCTGGCCAGGCTGCTGGACTCGGGGCGTCGCCGGGGAAGAGTTTAAGGGAGCTGGAGATGCCCCGCACCAAGATGGCAGCTGGGGGAGGCCGCTTGTCTCGGGCTGCACAGCCAAGAACCGCGGAGGGGAAGAAGGCAGGGGAGGGCGGGAGGCCATTCGCAGGTCACTCGGGTTAGATCCGCGCGAGGCACTAGGCGACCAGCCACCCAGCCCCGCGACCAACTAGCGCCGCCTCTCGCCGCCCATCCCGGGGCACCGGCGGTGGGCGGGGCCAGCAGCGCAAACTGCCTGCAGCGGGGACCGGACCTGCACAGGCCGCCTATGGCGGGCGGCGGGTGGGACCGCGAGTTACAGCCGGCCAACTGGGGCCAGCCAGGAGCCTGAGGGTCGGAAGCCCCCAACACAAGATGCTGAGCTCCTTCCTGAGCCCCCAGAATGGCACCTGGGCAGACACCTTCTCTCTGCTCTTGGCTCTTGCCGTTGCCCTCTACTTGGGCTACTACTGGGCATGTGTGCTTCAGGTGGGTGCGGGTCCACCGCTCTGGCCAGCGGGTTTGGGTGTAGGGGGCAGCTTCCAGACACGGGCTTGGGCCCTTGGTGGGAACTGGGATGGTTGGGCTTCCCCACAGGTGAAATTTGCTACCACCGAATGGAGAGTCGGCTCTGCCTCTCTAGTGCCTCTGCATCCCATGTGATCCCCATGCCAGCTGGGCCTTTTGGGTACCGGAGGGTGCTGCTCCCTATAATGTGGACAAGCATTTGGGGAAAGGTGGGGTGGAAGGCATCCTGAGGTATCAGAGATGTGCACACTTTGCGTTCCTTTTTAGGTGGTTTAGCTGAGTCTTTCAGCTGCACTGAAGGAAGGAACCAGAGGTCTGTGGGTCATGGCTAACTCCCAATACCACCCACCCCCCAAATAGCTTAGTAGGACCTCCCTTCCCTTAAGGGCTGGCTGAGGTCAGAACTGGCCTAGCTCAGAACTGATGGATGACCCCAACTGTCCTTGCTCATTCAGCCGTTTTATGTTCCAGGCTCTCCATATAGTGAGTGTGATGAGAAAGTTTGAAGAGGTTGATTTTGATGAATTTGGAGACTTTTCTCACTGAAATTTAGATATATACATAATTTACATATCCAGGAAAAGCCAAATCTCTTCATCTTCATTAAACTCTGTTCTAGGTAGCTGAGTCTAACAAGACACCTACTGGTTCGAGTCCTTTAAAAAGGTCTATAGGAGACTTTAGTGTTACCTAGACTTTTCCATATTTTCAGAGCTTTCTACATTAGCATATATTGTTTACTAAATGTCTTCCTTAGGGCCGGGTGTGGTGGCTCACGCCTGTAATCCCAACACTTTGGGAGGCAGAGGCGGGAGGATCGCCTGAGGTCGGGAGTTCGAGAGCAGCCTGACCAACATGAAGAAACCCCATCTCTACTAAAAATACAAAAATTAGCCAGGCATGGTGGCACATGCCTATAATCCCAGCTACTCGGGAGCCTGAGGCAGGAGAATCACTTGAACCTGGGAGGCGGAGGTTGCAATGAGCCTCGTGCCATTGCACTCCAGCCTGAGCAACAAGAGTGAAACTCCGTCTCAAAAAAAAAAAAAAAAGTCTTCCTTAATAAAACAGTTAAAAACTCCAAGCCTCACAATACTCTGTAGGCCTCACTTTATACATCAGATTTGGAAGGTCACTTCAGAACAAAACTGCCCCTAAGGAAACACTTTCCTTTACTTGCAACTAGCTGCACAGAAATCTGGGCCCCTGCTGCTTTATAGACTAAACCCTTTATAAGCTAACGAATACTGGTTAAAATGCAGGAAAAGTGCCATTCTGGAGGCCCTCTAGATACGGTGTTTGGATTGGCCAGCACTGTAATGGATCTATACTGATTTAAGCATAGCAACCAGTGCCATATTGTAATACTAATTCATTCTCAGGAGGGAGTCAAGAAACATTTTCTTGAGTTAAAATCAAATTAACCCACATAAATCAAACCTGTGAACAAATTTATAAGTCTTGTTCCACACTACTGGGCCGTTTGACCAAGGAATTAATAAACTGATAGTAACTCAGCCGAGCACAGTGGCTCATGCCTGTAATCCCAGCATTTTGGGAGGCTGAGGCGGGCGAATCACTTGATGTCAGGAGTTCGAGACCCGCCTGGCCAACATGGTGAAACCCCTATCTCTACTAAAAATACAAAAATTAGTTGGGTGTGGTGACGCAAGCCTGTCATCCCAGCCACTCAGGAGGCTGAGGCAGGAGAATCGCTTGAACCCAGGAGGCGGAGGTTGCGGTGAGCTGAGATGGCACCACTGCACTCCAGCCTGGGTGTCAGAGCAAAACTCCGTCTCAAAAAAAAAAAAAAAAAAAGGATAGCAACTCAAAATCTTGGCAATTAGGAGGCAATACCCGACAGTGACTAGACAGCGCAGGCTCTAGAGTCAGACAGACCTGGGTTTGAATCTCCTGCTCTGCCACTAACTAGCTCTGGCAAGCTTCTGGCCCTTGACAAGTTATTCAGCATTCAAATCCGTTCACATAGGGGGATCACAGAACCTATTTCATGGAACTGTTATGAAAATCACAAGACAAAATTTGTGTGAAGTGCTTAGCAGAATGCCTGGAGCTTAATGAGAACTCAACAAATCTTACCTACAAGTACTGGTGGTAATGTCATAGTTAATAATTTTGTTTTGCCTCTTGCTTGCTGTGTAACTGGACAAACCACTTAATCTCTGTCAGTCATAACTTCTTCACTTATAAAATATCTCATAAGTTTGGGCTTAGCCCAGTGCCTTCACACGACTGACAGCTGTCGTAATTCCAGGGCTTAAGGACTAGGGTCCAAAGTCACATCTCCCAACAGTTGCACTATCGACTTGGCATCTCTACCATTTGCCCCTGTAGACTATAGGAACTGTACTGGAGATAGAAATCTGGTCCTCATGTTCCTTAGGGCCCACTGCGGATATGCAGTTTCTATTCTTGAACCTATGGCATACTCCTCCTTCACATGCCTTCCACGTGGCTAGGCTCTCTCATTCACTTGATGTCTGTCCAGAACACAGCAGAGAAGCTGAAAGTCAGGGCTTAGTGCCCACTGACCTCATCTGTCCCTGTTATTTCATCCTTGTCACCTTCCCCCTAGCTGGCATGAAGGAAGAAAAAAATCGATTCACATTAGGGCTGTTCTTCCTTTAGAGCACAATCTAACAGCAGGGGCCCCACAAGTAAGAGAAGATAAGGTCCCCGGTAGAAAGAAGCCCCTTAGGCCAGACGCAGTGGCTTACACCTGTAATCCCAGCACTTTGGGAGGCCGAGGTGGGCGGATCACGAGGTCAGGAGATCGAGACCATCCTGGCTAACACAGTGAAACCCCATCTTTACTAAAAATACAAAAAAAAAAAAAAAAATTAGCCAGGTGTGGTGGCGGGCACATGTAGTCCCAGCTACTCGGGAGGCTGAGGCAGGAGAATCGTGTGAACCCGGGAGGCAGAGATCTTGCAGTGAGCCGAGATCACGCCACTGCACTCTAGCCTGGGCGACAGAGTGAAACTGTGTCTCAAAAAAACCCCTTGGCAGTGAGCAAGAACATTAGAGAATAGGAATATACAGATGAAGTGGTGCTAAAATCAGGAGCCAGAGTGGCCAGAGTCAGTCTTAGGAAGAAGACAGTGTAGCTTCATCTTTTTTTTTTTTTTTTTTTTTTTTTTAAGACGGTGTTGCTGGGCACAGTGGCTCACGCCTGTAATCCCAGCACTTTGGGAGGCCGAGGCGGGCGGATCATGAGGTCAGGAGATCGAGACCATCCTGGCTAACACAGTGAAACCCCGTCTCTACTGAAAGTACAAAAAATTAGCCAGGCGTGGTGGCGGGCGCCTGTAGTCCCAGCTACTTGGGAGGCTGAGGCAGGAGAATGGCGTGAACCCGGGAGGTGGAGCTTGCAGTGAGCCGAGATTGCGCCACTGCACTCCAGCCTGGGCAACAGAGCGAGACTCTGTCTCAAAAAAAAAAAAAAAAAAGAAAAAAAAAAGATGGTGTCTCGCTCTATCACCAGGCTGGAGTGCAGTGGCACAACCTCGGCTCACTGCAACCTCTGCCTCCCGGGTTCAAGTGATTCTCCTGCCTCAGCCTCCCGAGTAACTGAGACTACAGGTGCTCACCACCATGCCTGGCTAATTTTTGTACTTTTAGTAGAATCGGGGTTTCACCATGTTGGCCAGGATGGTCTCCATCTCTTGACCTTGTGATCCACCCACCTCGGCCTCCCAAAGTGCTGGGATTACAGGCATGAGCGACTGCGCCCGGCCGGCTTCATTTTCAACTGCAAAGTAAAGGCTGAAGATTGAATGGTGCTGCATTTCTTCAGCCCCTGCCCAGAACCCCGACTTTTTCTGCAGGGGATCAGCTGGGCACTTATTGACAGGGTCTCACTGTCGCCCAGGCTAGAGTACAGTGGTGCTATCATAGCTCACTGCAGCCTTGAACTCCTGGGCTCAAGTGATCCTCCCACCTCAGCCTCCCAAGTGGCTGGGACCACAGGCGCACACCACTGAGCGTGGCTGTTTACATCACCTGCTCTCTCCAAAATGGGTTTGGGGCATGGATAGGCTGAGCAGGAAAGTCAGCACTCAGTCAACTCAGCAGCTCCCAGTTCAGGGTCAATTCTGGGCAGTGACACTCCAGGACTGGGTTTTTTAGGGGCTCTAGCTGGAGTGTATTATCAGACTTGGCCATTCAACTGAGCTGTGCTGAGTATCTCACATGCAGACAAAGCAGGGTCCTCCAGGCTGGGCTCTGGAGAGGGGGCCCCCTCACCCTCTGGTGTTGGGTGCCTCACTAGCTTGGTGCAAAAGTCAGGGAAGTGGGGCAGACTGCTGTGTGATTACAGAGGCCTCGGCTGGTGGCTGGGCCGCAGTTTCTGGCCTTCCTGGAGCCACACTGTTCCATCACCACCGAGACTTTCTACCCAACGCTGTGGTGTTTTGAGGGGCGACTACAAAGCATCTTCCAAGTCCTCCTGCAGTCTCAGCCCCTAGTCCTTTATCAGAGGTAAGAAGGGACAGAACAGGGTGAACATGAAACCCCAGGTATCTAGGGAAAAACCTATCTACCACTTTTAAAATGTAGGTAATCTGCCTCATCTACATCCCTGTGTTGAGGGTTCAATGACAATGGATGTTATATGGAAGGGCTATATAATTGCACGGCCACCAGGTCATCTTTTATGTCCCCATCACACATTGTCAAGCCTTACTGTTTTACATGAAGAACACCCTCAGATGATGCTGACGGGAAGTGATAAGACTTGTTTGTGGGTGGGGCAGGGGGCAAAGCTTTTGAATTACATTAAGTTCTTAATAGTATCTTTGTGTGCCTCTTCCTCCAAAACCAGTGACATCCTCCAAACACCAGATGGAGGCCAGCTCCTGCTAGACTGGGCCAAGCAGCCTGACAGCAGCCAAGACCCTGATCCTACTACCCAGCCCATTGTGCTGCTGCTTCCTGGCATCACTGGCAGTAGCCAGGAGACATACGTCTTGCACCTAGTTAACCAAGCTCTGAGGGATGGCTACCAGTAAGGATGGGTGCAGCCCCAGAGTGGGGTGGCATCTGAGAACGTGTATTAGGGAGAAGTCAATCCGGACACTGATAGATAAGAAGAATGCTACACAAAGGGAGTCTTTGGACAGGGGTCTTTCTGAATACTGAAAGGGGAGAGGGGCTAAGAAGGGTCTGGCTAAGATGTACCTGTGTGTGCCACAGGGCTGTCGTGTTTAACAACCGGGGCTGCCGTGGGGAGGAACTGCGGGTGAGTAGCTGCCTTCCTCATAGCAGCCCTTCACCCACTCCCTTTAGAGATCCTTGGCCCTGGGGCTCACCTCCTACCTATCCTTCCTCAGTTTCCCCTCCACCTTCTGGCCACGGTCTCCCTCCCTACCCAATGATCTGGTTTGCCCTCAGACCCACAGGGCTTTTTGTGCCAGCAATACTGAAGATCTAGAGACAGTCGTGAACCACATAAAGCATCGTTATCCCCAAGCTCCACTGCTGGCCGTGGGCATCTCTTTTGGAGGGTAAAGATTGCCTGGGCTTAGCCCAGAGGCCCAGTCTTCCTTTTTTTCCTCCTCCATGTCCCCTTCCTCTGTCCCAACCCACATTAATGCAAACCCTTCTTTCATGGTCCCTTGTCCAATTCCACAGGATACTGGTGCTGAATCACCTGGCACAGGCCAGGCAGGCTGCAGGGCTGGTGGCAGCACTGACTCTGTCTGCATGCTGGGATTCCTTTGAGACCACTCGCTCCCTGGAAACCCCACTCAACTCACTGCTCTTCAATCAGCCCCTCACTGCTGGGCTCTGCCAACTTGTGGAACGGTAGGGTCGTGGCAAGTGGGAGGAGGCAGTAGACAGAGTAGGATGGCAGACACTCCAGGCTCTCCTAGTGCTTGGTCAGTTCTCTCTGGGCTTCCTCACACATGAGATAGTAAGACAGGGCCTGGGGGTGGGGGATCAGATCCAGGTGTCAAGCCAAACTCTTATGTACTTTTGCAGAAACAGAAAGGTGATTGAAAAGGTGGTGGACATAGACTTTGTACTACAGGTATAATATTCAGCCATGCCCCTGGTTCCCCCAAATGAGTCTTCCACTATCTTCCTATTCTTTATCATCTTAGCCTATCCTATGGTAAGACCTGCAGGCCCGTACAATCCGCCAGTTTGATGAGCGCTACACATCTGTGGCCTTTGGATATCAAGACTGTGTTACCTACTACAAAGCAGCAAGCCCTAGAACCAAGATAGATGCCATCCGGATCCCTGTGCTCTATCTCAGTGCAGCAGATGACCCCTTCTCCCCCGTCTGTGGTGAGTACTCTGATTCAGGACACTTTGGCCCCAAGGAAAATGGGCCATGAGGGACGCAACAGACAGCCTGGGCTCCCAGTGAAGGCCAGTGTTTCTAACCTCTGACCCTCTCCTAGCCCTTCCCATACAGGCCGCCCAACACTCCCCCTACGTTGCGCTGCTCATCACAGCCCGGGGTGGCCACATCGGCTTCCTGGAAGGGCTGCTCCCGTGGCAGCACTGGTACATGAGCCGCCTCTTGCATCAGTACGCCAAAGCCATCTTCCAGGACCCAGAGGGGCTGCCTGACCTCAGGGCTCTCTTACCTTCTGAGGACAGAAACAGCTGACAAGAGTACCATTTGGGGTCTCAGTTCACTCTTTCCTTGTTTATTAAATATCAACTTTTCCTGCCTAATGGGCTGAGGTTCATTTTCCCATTCCTCAAGGTAAGGGTAGACTACCTAGGAACTTATTGCATCTTTAGGCCAGCTGGCTTAGTGCTACCCATCTGAACCCCCAGATTACTACCCAAGTCTTCCTTTTGCCCCTTCCTGCCCTAACAGCAAGTACCAGGCCAGTCCCTTCCCCAGCAAATGCCAGGGGCTTCATGTGAAGAGGAACTGGCCACAAGGCTGAGGGGAGGAGGAGAAACTGTTTCTGCAGGAAGGACAGCAGTGCCTCCAGGCTCTTGGGCATCTTCACATGTTTCTAGATAAGGACAAGCTCAACTCTGGAGCCTCTGGTAGGCAGAAGAAAGGAGGCAGGGAGTATGGCCTGGGCTTCAGATACCGCTGTTCTGGATGGATCCACAGATGACGAAGGCAAGGTTCCTGGGACCTGGAGTCACACAGGGCCATAGCCAAGCCTTTTCACTAGAAGGGCAGGCAGTGCCCATTCATCTTGTCAGCGGCAACCTCAGCTGTGGACCCGAATGGAGTGAGCAAAGGGAGTCCAGGCCTCCACTCTGCTCTAGAGATGGCAGTGTCCAGGCTCCTGATTCCCAGGAAGCAGGGAAGCTAAAGGAAACCTGGAAAGGCACTCTGGAGCAGCAGGATGGTCACAATAATAAGCCCGACACACAGCAGGAGCAGGAGCCACACAGGAACACTCCCTGCAGGAGGGAAAGGGAGGAGGTCAGCGGGCAAAAGGGCTTCCCAGCCTGAAAACCAGAACCCTTCAAAGGAGGAGTGGCACAAAGAGCCCAGCCTCCGGGGGGCACGTTTCTGGTCATTAAACGTGGGGTGGTGCCTGCCTGCCCTGCCCCAATGACTCACGCCGTGAGGGCAACAGATGCAGCTGGCAACGACTGTCCACAGCCACAGAGAACAGGGCAGTTTCATGGGACCCAAGGAGCTCTGGACCACGACCCTTCTCAGGTAGAAAGGCCACATCCGTCACCACAATGCCATGGGCCTCCCTCACGTAGTAGAGGCACTGTGGGCAGAAGGAATACCAGTGAGGAAAGGCCTAGCTGGGAACTCTCTTTCTGGAAAGCATGTTCCCCACCCCCAGGATTTCCCTCGATAGGATGGGCCAGACTCCTTCCTGCAAACTCAGGGTAGAGACAGGCCTACAGTCCACCCACAGGGCCATGCCAACCTCCACCCATTACCTGGAGAGAGAAAGCTATGTAGATGGCAACAGA
Source organism: Homo sapiens (assembly GCF_000001405.40). Taxonomy (NCBI): domain Eukaryota; kingdom Metazoa; phylum Chordata; class Mammalia; order Primates; family Hominidae; genus Homo; species Homo sapiens. The sequence goes on from NC_000002.12 coordinate 27,132,043, forward strand.
GCCAGTGACTGTGCCCAGGCCTAGGAAGGTGCCGGATTCACTGCAACAAACAATAAAGAGCTCATTGTCCTGGAGGCTTGTGCAGCAACCCTCATACCCCAATACCGGTCCGTAGGGACCCAGGCAGGACTCCTTTCCAAGCTCCCTCAGGGACCCCCTACCTAGCCAAGGCAGCAATGTCTCACACCTGACATCGAGGCAGGAGACGACTTCATGGCCACAGGACTTGGTCCGAAGGGGCAAGAAGTTGGAGCCATCCCAGGCTGTGAGGTAGCAGGGAGGGGGCTGGCGCAGGCGCTTGTGGGGAATTTGCACTGTGAAGAGTCGCAGGCCAGCAGGCTGGTCTGGAACCTGCCCAAACCTGGGGGCCGGATGAGGGGCTATTCAGCTCCTAGGGCCTGCCCAACCCTCCTCAGAGGTTTGTGCACCACCTGCACCCTGGTCAGACCTGGGGTAACACTCAACAAGTTCCTCCCCAGCTCTCCCATCCCCAGTCTTTTCCCTCTCCCCCACCACAGCTGGGCTATGCCTCTTTCAGCCACCACCCAAAGTCTTCACACCTGCAGGCCTGGTAGCGGTAAGGTGTGCTGGAAAAGGTGGGTCCATTTTCTTGCCAGTGCAGCTGTGTCACCAGCTGATCCTTCTGCCACACAGAGGCCTTAAGGTCCCGGCCCACGGTTACCAACTAGTTAGGAATAAAGATTCCAAGGATGGACAGTTAGGGGATCCACTTACTGGGCAAGCAGCATAAGCACCTCCTCTCTCCTTTCTCCATCCTCCTCCCACCCCCAGCCCCTCACCTTGCCATCAGGCCCTAAAGCCAGGTCTTCAATCTCCCCTTCGTGGGCTTTGAACTCCAGAACCTTCTCCAGGCTGGGCACCTGTAGCCAAACAACCACCATGGTTAACTCAGGTGTCCAGCAAGTACACTGTGACTGATGCCCACGCCACCCCTTCTAATGGCCCCTCAATGCAAGCTTCATTCACAAGTTTCCCAGATGCCACGTTCAACTTCTCACAATTTTGATCCTGTTGCTACTGACATTCACCCTCCCTAACCCTGCAAACCCACACCTTCCAGACACGGACGTAGCCATCTGTTCCTCCAGTGGCAAGCAGGGTATTATCGTGGTTGAAGCACACAACTTTCTGCAGTGGATCGGAGCTAAAGTCTGTCTGCACCGCCTGCAAATTCTCTACCCTGAGTTCTAGCCCCTCGTGCTGGGTTTCCGCTCCACATTTCTTCTCTGCTGGGGCTGCTCCCTTCCTTTGTCGAGGCCCCTGCTCCTTGGAACCTGTAACACAAACACTTGGCCAGGTTCCAGGCTTCTACAGTAAGGAGTACTGGCCCCTCTCTCCATGGCAGGTGCCCATACAACTTCTAGCTTGCTACCAAAACCCTACTTCCAGACCCACTTCTTTAGAGACACCAAGAGTGACCTTACTCGTTCAACCCTTTCCCCAAGGGGGTAGAGAGGGAGCTCCTCACCGGCCTTCTCTGCCTTGTTGCCCTGCTGTTGATGTGCCTGGAAGCGCAGGAGCTGACAGTGGGCATCCTGCCCTGCAGCAAGGATGTCACCAGCCAGTGCCAAGTTCATGGTGGCCCGTGTCTCTGTGTCATGGGAGTGCAGCAAGGAGGCACTCAAGCGCCCATTAATCAGCTCTAGCTGCAGAAAGTGCTGTGGGAGGGGGAACCCGGATGAGCAAGTTCAGGGGTGCCCAGAGAGCACGTTTAGGGAAGAGTCTGATGTCTTACCCCTTTGCTTTCTGCACGTTCTAGTTCACAAGGGTTTCTCGAGTCTTTTTTCTCTCATTTGGGCCTCACAAATCTACACAGTGAGCAGGACTGGGATTATTACCTCTATTTTACAGAACAGGGTGAAGCTCAGGAGAGGGAAGGAACTTAGCCTAAACCCAAATGCACCACTCTCGCCGCTGCTAGAGGGCAGGCAAGACCTCCCGGAAAAGGCCAGTATAAGACCCCTGGAGCTGCTCTGAGGCGGAGCTGAAGCGTTCCTGGCGACTCTGCAGCTGTGTGCAGTTTTCACTTTACCTTAAAAGCCTCTCCTCCGCCCGCTGAGTTCTCGACTGAAATTCGCCCCTGGGCGTCAGGCAAGCGGGTCTTCCCAACAGAAGTGGGCAGGGCCCGAAGCTGGAGTGTGGCCCGCCCCGCGACCCCCCGGCCACCCTGGAATCGCCGCCAGCCCGCAGCAAGACCCAGCCCCAGTGGCCCTGCGCTCTCACCACGCCATTCTTTATGCCTGTCTTGGCGGCGCCTCCTCCGCCCGCAGCGATGAGCAGCCCAGTGCTGGGGTCGACCTGAAGCGCGTACAACGGGAACGGAGCCCGGTACAGCTCTGGCGCCCGGCGCCGGCCCATCCCGCCCGGCGCGCGTTCACTGCCCGCACCGCGGCACCCAGGACATGCCGCGCCGGGCCTTCGACTACTGCCCCGGCGGCTGGTGAACTCGGCCCCGTCGCCGCCGGGAGCACTCCCTACCCCTCTCACACCGGGGAGTTGCCAAAACCCTGACCATCAGCAGGAAGCCGAGCCTCAGCTCGGCTCCGTCCAAGTCGGTCTCGCAGACGCGCACTGCGCATGCGCACCTGTCTCGCGGCTCCCTCCGCGCAGGCGCAGGAGCGCCGACACGCGTCAGCACTAGCCGGCCGCGGGGCCGCGTTTCCCGGGGCGGGGCTTCGGTTCTCCACCCCTGGCGCGGAGGCAGAGTCGCCCAGCACCGACTTCGCCATTTTTGTGCGGGGCGCGGGGCGCGGGCGGAGGAGGTGGAGCCAATGGAGGTTGATGAAGGTCAACCTTTAATAAAGAAATCCGACTCGCGCCTGTAATCCCAGCACTTTGTGAGTCCTAGGCGGGCGGATCAGGAGTTCGAGACCAGCCTGACCAACATGGAGAAACCCCGTCTCTACCAAAAATACAAAGGGCGTGGTGGCGTGCGCCTGTAATCCCAGCTACTCGGGAGCCTGAGGCAGGAGAATCACTTGAACCTGGGAAGTAGAGGTTGCAGTGAGCCGAGATCGCGCCATTGCCATTGCTCTTCAGCCTGGGCAACAAGCAACAAGAGTGAAACTCCGTCTCAAAAAAAAAAAAATCCTCTGCCAGGCACGGTGGTTCATGCCTGTAATCCTCCTGTAATCCCAACACTTTCGGAAAGTCCGAGAGAGGAGGATGGCTTGAGCCCAGGCTTTCGAGACAGCCTGGGCAACATGGGGATCCGTCCCTACGAAATATTTAAAAATTAGCCAAACATCGTGGCACCTGTGGGCCCAGGTGCCCAGGAGGCTCAGGCGGGAGGATCACTTGAGACTGGGAGGTCGAGGCTGCGCTGGACCACCAGTGATGTCACCACTGCACTCCAGCCCCTGGGCAACAGAGCTAGACCCTGTCTCTCACACACATAAAATCCTCAAATAAGGACTGTTCCCATCTGAGGAGTGATATGCCAACTCCTAGGAGCACAGGCCTTTGCATCTTACCTCAGAGAGGAAGTGATTTGCCCGAGGGCACACACCAGAAACCACCGGAGTCTCTTGCTTCTTAACGGAGGCAGCATGAACTTAAAAATAAACCTGACTTCAAATGCTGAATCCATTGCTTCCTCGTATGAGGACACGTCTGTCATCCTTAACGCCTATCGCCCACTTTTGGCAGGGGTGGTGTCTGCCATTCCCTTTCTCAAGGCTTCACACTCCTGGGCTGGTGGCTTGGTGGGTGGCCAGCTGCTTTGCTGGCCTCAGAGGGGGCAGTTTGGCTCCCGGGCAGGTATCTTCTGCGCCTGACACTCCATTCTCCCTCGGGTTTCTGATCTGATGAGGACCTTTGTGCACTCCTGAGAGCGAGCACAAGGGATGTCCTTCCCTGCAAAGAGACGCCCTCTCCTGCATTCTCATTAACCTAAGGTGCACCCAGAGGAATAGCGCAGTGGCTTCATCTTTGGGGATGCCAATATCTGTCCCACAGAGTTGAATTAGATGTGTGAAGGGCCTGGCCAAGCTCTCTGCATATCTCAAGTCCCCAGGCCTTGTGGGTCCCTTGTCCTCCTTGGATACATGGCACCTGCTCTTTCTGGCCTCTCCGTTTCCTTTGACACCACCCTCCAGGGTCTTTTTTATTTTTTGAGACGGAGTCTCGCTCTGTTGCCCAGTCTGGAGTGCAGTGGCCTGATCTCAGCTCACTGCACCCTCCACCTCCCAGGTTGAAGTGATTCTCCTGCCTCAGCCTCCTGAGTAGCTGGAACTACAGGCACCCGCCACCACACCCAGCTAATTTTTGTATTTTTAGTAGAGATGGAGTTTCACCATGTTGGCCAGGCTGGTCTCGTAACTCCTGACCTTAAATGATATGCCCACCTTGGCCTCCCAAAGTGCTGGGATTATAGGCATGAGCAACCACACCATGCCCTCTTTTTTTTTTTTTTTTTTTTGAGATAGGGTCTCTGTCACCCAGGCTGGAGTGCAATGGCATGATATAGCTCATTGCAACCTTGAACTCCTGGACTCAAGTGATCCTCCCACTTTAGCCTCTTGAGTAGCTGGTAGTACAGGCACGCGCCACCATACTCAGCTAATTTTTTTATATTTTTGTTTTTGGAGAGACAGGGTCTTGCTATGTTGCCCAGGCTGGTCTCAAACTCGTGGCTTCAAGTGATCCTCCTACCTCAGCCTTCCAGTGTGTTGGGATTATAGGCATGAACCACCCCCTCCCCGCCACCAAGGGTCTTGTTAGGGACTGGCACCCCTATAGTTACAGCCACCTATTCTGTGGACTCAGCAGGACGCAAACACAAGTTTCACAGGGTCAGACTTTATTAGATACACGGAGGGCTGAATGGGGCCTTGGTGCCCTTGGTCCTCTTCAGCCTGGAGACAGCAGACTCCACAAGGGGCTCCCAGGGTTCAGAGCAGGAGAACACACCTGACCTCCGGCCAGCCAGCCCTTCAGGGTGTCTCGGGGACTCCCCGAGATCTGGGGCCTGGTTGGGAGGGTTGGGTTTGGAGGGGGTGTTCCAGGGGGCCTCCGTGGCTCTGGAACTAGACTGATGACTTTTGGAGAATGAGCTCCAGAGAAACTGGCCTCTTTGGGCCAGGGCAAGGCCTGGGCTTCAGGGAGGTAGTGACCTGTTTTGGTGCCCGAGGTGGAGGCCCGGAGAAACATCGTGGGGAGTTTGGTGATTGAAGGCCTGCAGACCTGAAGCTCCTGGTCTGGGAGGGTGTGCCTGGGACTGGGTCGGCCCGGGCCTGAGCTGCTGGAGGCTGAGATGCTGGCAATTGATGCCCACAGGCCTGAGTAGCCTTGCCCTGAGGCCCTGCTTCCTTCGGCCTTTTCTCGGGCAGCAGATGCAAGGCCCTGGCCTGGCCCTGAGGCAGGCGGAGGCCGAAGCCGATGCCTATCCGGAGTGGCCCAGATTCCTGGCCCTGCACACAGGGCAGTAGTTGAGGGAAAGCAAGCAGCCGGGGTCCAGTCCTGTACCTGGGGAGGGGGCAGGAGGGGCTGCGGGGCCGGAGGCACACCAGGCATATAGGATACTCCACGACTGGGGCCTGGCCGGTTCTGCCTAGCCACAGGTGCTGCAAAAGCAGTAGCCGCAGGTCGTGTGCGATGCGGCGGTGCCCCAGCTGGACCACCAGGGCCTGGGCCAGGGCCCCTGGGTCCCTGAACTGTGCAGGATCCTTCTCGCTTGGCACGCATCTCTCCACCACTCCAGGGGACCCGGACCCAGTGTCCCTGTACTGATGCCAGCGCCATGTCTGCCTGTTAGAGTGGAGCCTATGAGAAGGTGGGCTGGGGCCTGGGGAAGTGAGTGTGGAGCTATGCAGTTCCTCGGGGTGGGAAGGGGACTGGCAAGGTGAGTGGGGAAGGGAGGAGTTCTGAGGCTGGGAGGGAGAAAAGGAAGGGGTCAGAGGGGGAGAGGGGTACAGCCAGTGGTTGGAGGGAGAGGATGCACGTGGACGGGGGAGAGAGAGGTAGTTCTGGTGAAAGAAAGTAGGGGAACTTGGGAGAGAGGGAGAATAGGGATGTGGAGCAAAGTCAGAATTTGAGTCACAAGAGCCGAATTGGAAGCCAGGAGAGGGGGATGCTGGTGGAGGGGAGGAGGGACGACGGGACTGAGTGGAAGAGAACGGTGGTTGAGAGGGAGGGAGGCCCTGATGGGGAGAGAGAGGCTGTAGGTTGTGAGGAGAGGAGTCCACAAGTTGTGAGAAGCCCCAAGTGGGGCGCCCAGGGAGCACTGAGGTCTGTGGCAGCACCTGGTCCTTGTTTTGAGGCAACATCGCCTTGAATCCAGAAGGAACTGGGGCAACAAGACTAGGGATAAGAGACCTGGCAGAGTCAGGACCAGTATCTCTGAGGTCAGCTGTGCCTGAGAAATCAAGGCCACCTTCTGTGCGCAGAGCGTGGCTCCAGCCTGGTGTGGGTGCAGGTGCTGGTGGCAGGCCAAGGGGATACCCAGCCCTCCAGCACCAGGCTCTCAGGGTGTTCAGGCATGAGCATGAATCTAAGCTTGGCTTCTCACTTCTTTGCAGTCAACCATTGATGAGGGATGTGTGGGGATGGAGAATCACAGCTGCATCTTGGGAGTGGAGGGGCAGCAGCGATTATCTGGGTGGGGCAGAGAGGAAGACAAAGCCCATAGGACCTGGAGAGAAAAGAGAGAACCCAAGACATTGGGAGAATTGGTCCATTTCTGGCTCTGCCTCATATCCCCAGTTCCAAGCTGAACTCACCAAGACTTTAAATCCATGTCACCTTTGGGATCAAAAGAACTGGCAAAATGCTCCAGGGAAGGTGAGAAGTGGGGAGGAGAGGAATAAGGAGGAAGGGAGGGTAGGATGGAGTTGGAGGAGGGGTTCGGGGGATAAGGGCTGAGATGGGAACAGGAATTGAGGGTGTTCTGGTGCTGAGCGCTCTTACCAATGAGAACTCCTCTGGGCTGTGTTTCACAGGCACTTCAGCGTTGAGAGGACCTGGGAGAGAGGAGCAGGGTCACCAAATGGTGGATACACCTTTCTCTGTCCCCAGCGTCTAACACTAAGTGCACTCTGACCCGGGTTTCTGTCTGAGCCCTGAGTTTTGCCCTCAGTCCTCCTTTAGCCAGGCGGAGGCCTGTGGTACAGATTTTTATTCTCCTAATCCTGATTCGGGGGTTCTGCAAGCATCCCAGTGTCCTGCCACTCTGGTTCCTCTGACCCCTTATTGCCCCTAGTGCTGATGTCCTCTAGCTCACCCTGGCCCAGACAGAGATACCTTATTATACCCAGCAGCAGAAGGAATGGGGCCAGCTGGTAAAAGCCTCTGGGAGACTGGGACTTTGTCTAAGGGGTGGCACCAGGTTCGCCGACCCCAATGGGAGCTGGGGGCCCCATTCCCTGAGTTCAGTTCCCCCCTGGCAGCATGTGCCTATGTCACAAAGGTCAGGTGCTGACATCATAGAATCTCCTCCTCGAAGCTCTGGGACCTTCTTCAAGAGACCATCCAAAGGCTGGCCCTTGATAACGCTGTGAAGCAGGCAGAATTCTTCAGTGCACTCAGTTTCTCCTTCAAGACCCAGCCCCCACCTCTACTCTTGGCCTATACACTTTACAGCTCCAACCACCTCCTTCATCCATTGCTCTCCCCACTAACACAGCCTGTCTGGGCTGAGTTCATGCACCACAACTTTCTCCCCCTTGGGATATACCTATTATATGTTTTAATAACTATTTTCTTAACTGCTTTATTGGGATATAATTCACATACCATACAATCTACCCATTTAAAGTGTACCATTCGATGTCTTCTAGTTTATTCACAGGGTTGTAGAACCATCTCCACAATCTAGTTTTAGAACATTTTTGTCCCCCCAAAAATCCTGTACCCATTAGCAGTTGGTCCCCACTCTTCCCCCAGCCTCTGGAAACCACCAGTCTACTCTGTTTCTATAGGTTTGCATATTCTAGACATTTCATATAAGTGGAATTATACAATATATGGTCTTTTGTATCTGACTTCTTTTACTTCGCATGTTTGCAAGGTTCATTCATGTTGTAGCATGTGTCATCGCTTTATTCCTTTTTATTGCCAGATAATATTCCTTTGTGTGGATATGCCATATTTTGTTTATCCATTCATTAATTGATGGACATTTTGGTTCTTTCTACTTTTTTTTTTTTTGAGATGAATTCTCACTCTGTTGCTCAAGCTGGGGCGCAGTGGCACAATCTTGGCTTACTGCAACCTCCACCTCCCGGGTTCAAGCAGTTCTCCTGCCTCAGCCTCCTGAGTAGCTGGGACTACAGGCGCGGGCCACTATGCCTGGCTAATTTTTGTATTTTTAGTAGAGATAGGGTTTCGCCATGTTGGCCAGGCTGGTCTCGAACTCCCAACCTCAGGTGATCCACCCACCTCGGCCTCCCAAAGTGCTGGGATTACAGGCGTGAGCCACCGTGCCTGGCATGGTTCTTCCTACTTTTTAGCAATTATGAATAGTGCTATGAACATTCTTGTACAAGTTTTATGTGAACATATGGTTTCATTTATCTTTAGATACATAGAAGCAGACTTGCTGGGTTACACGGTGAATCTATATTTAACATTTTGAGTAACTACCAAACTGTCTTCCAAGTTGGCTGTACCAATTTTCAATCCCATCAGCGAGGTATAAGGGTTCCAATGTTTCTTTATCCTTACCAACACATGTTGTTGCCTGTCTTTTTTATTTTAGCAACCCTAGTGGGTGTGAAATGGTATGATATTGTGGTTTTTATTTACATTTTCCTAATGACTAATGATGTTGAGCATCTTTTCATGTGCTAAGGGATATTTGTTTATCTTCTTTGAAGAATTGTATATTCAAATCCTTAGCCTATCTTTTTAAAAGCCAGTCAAATTTAGCAGTGGGGTGTTGTATACCAACTTTAGTGACCTTTTTTTTTGAGGGGCTGATGGAATCTCGCTCTGTCGCCCAGGCTGGAGTGCAGTGGCGCGATCTCGGCTCACTGCAACCTCTGCCTCCTGGGTTCAAGCAATTCTCCTGCCTCAGCCTCCCGAGTAGCTGGGATTACAGGCGTGCACCACCATGCCCAGCTAATTTTTTTGTATTTTTAGTAGAGATGGGGTTTCACCATATTGGCCAGGCTGGTCTCAAACTCCTGACCTTGTGATCCACCCGCCTCAGCCTCCCAAAGTGCTGGGATTACAGGCATGAACCACCACGCCCGGCCGGCTGTGGGTTTTCTATTCTTTTTCTTTTCTTTTTTTTTTTTTTTTGAGACAGGGTCTCACTCTATTGCCCAGGCTGGAGTGCAGTGGCACAATCAAGGCTCACTGCAGTCTTGACCTCCTAGGATCAAGCCGTCCTCCCACCTCAGCCCCACCAGATAGCTGGGACCACAGGCACACGCCACCATGCCTGGCTAATTTTTGTATTTTTTTGTAGAGACAGGGTCTTGCCATGCTGCCCAGGCTGGTCTTGAACTTCTGAGCTCAAGTGATCTGCCTGCCTTGGCCTCCCAAAGTGCTAGAATTACAGGGACAAGCCACCATGCTCGGCTGGCTTTTTCATACATGCTTTTTTTTTTTCTTTTTGGAGACGGAGTGTCACTCTGTCACTCAGGCTGGAGTGCAGTGGCACGATCTCAGCTCACTGCAGCCTCAGCCTCCTGGGTTCAAGCGATTCTCCTGCCTGAGCCTCCCGAGTAGCTGGGAACTGCATCAGGCAAACCTTCTTCCCATTTTATTCCTAAATAAGATAGCTACAACGATTTTGAAAAAGTGGCCAGGCGCAGTGGCTCACAGCTATAATCCCAGCACTTTGGGAGGCTGAGGCAGGTGGATCACTTGAGTCCAGGAGTTTGAGATCAGCCTGGCCAACATGGTAAAACCCCATCTCTAATAAAAAAAAAAATACAAAAATTAGCCGGGCATGGTGTTTTGAGCCTGTAATTCCAGCTACTCGGGAGGCTGAGGCAGGAGAATCACTTGAACCTGGGAGGCGGAGGTTGCAGTGAGCCGAGAACGCGCCACTGCACTCCAAGCTGGGCAACAGAGCAAGACTCCATCTCAAAAAGAAAAAGATTTTGTAAAAAGCTACATACCTCCTTCACAGTTTGCCCACAAGGAAATTCCTTGTTGGCCAAACAGTTCTGTTGAATTTCACCTTGGCAATGTAAATTGATAGCTTATCTTCACAGGTGCAGGCTAAAGGACAGAACTCAAAGTCATCATCTCTCTGCTCACCTGACACTAATGCATATCTGATTTGCTTCCTCTGTCCTACTGTCTATGTAAAAATGCAGATTCACTGAGCCAGACTAAGGGTTAAGTGACTGTTCCTTTAGCCCCCTCTCACATGTAAATTGTATATGCAGTGAAAGGCTGATCAAAGATTCAAAAGTGGCCGGACATGGGTGCTCACGCCTATACTCCTAGCACTTTGGGAGGCCAAGACAGGCAGACTGCTGGAGCTCGAGACCAACCTGGCCAACGTGGTGAAACCCCGTCTTTACAAAAAAAGTAGCCGGGCATGGTGGCACACATCTGTAGTCCCAGCTACTTGGGGGGCTGAGGCAGGAGGCTCGCTTGAACCCGGGAGGTGGAGGCTGCAGTGAGCCAAGATTGCGCCACTGTGCTTCAGCCTGGGTGACAAAGTGATACCCTGTCTAAAAAAAAGAAAGCGACTCAAAAGAATGCAACTGTTTGTCTCATCCACCTATGACCTGAAAGCCCCTGCTTCAAGTTGTCTGGCCTTTCTGGAGTAAACCAATATGCATCTTACACGTATTGATTGATGCCTCATGTCTTCCTAATATGTATAAAACCAAGCTGTACTCCAACCACCTTGGGCACATGTCATTAGGACCTCCTAGGCTGTGTCATAAGCATGTCCTTAACCTTTGGCAAAATAAACTTTCTAAATTGATTGAGACCTGTCTCAGATACTTTTGGGCTCACTTCAAATTGAGGAAGTTCTCTTCTGTTCCTAGTTTGCTGAATGATTGTATCATGAAGGGGTATTGGATTTTGTCAAACAGCTTTTTCTGCATCTGTTTAGATAACTATGTAGTTGTTGTCCTTTATTCTAGCAATATAATGTATAACATTAGTTGATTTTTGGGTGTTAAGCCAACCCTGCATTCCTGGTATAAGTCCCACTCAGACATAGTGTATAGTTCTTTTGATATGTCGCTGTATTCTGTTTGTTAGTGTTTTGTTTAGGATTTTTGTGTATACGTTCATAAGGGATATTGGTCTGTAGTTTTCTTGTGAGGTCTTTGGTTTTGGTGTCAGGGTAAAACTGACATTATTGTGGGGACAAGAGTGACTTTATTTTAAATGCTAATCTGTCATGTAACTTCTGACTAACCCTGAGTCTGGGAATGACTCCAAAATGTCTAGTTGATGTATTACTCTTTAGGTAGGAACACCTATTCATTGTAAATTTTGCCTTTCCTCCAAAACAGCCCTTGATGCTGTGGAATCCATTATAGGGTGTGATACCTGCAGCCTTTTCTCAGCCACCTACACATTCCTTCCAGACCATGTGTGTATTTTTCCCCATGAGATAAGCCCTGGGTCTGCGGGGTTGAGGTTCAGAGATCTACCTGTCTTGCAGCCACCCAAGACCATGCTTCCATCTGTAAGTTCCTCCTAATTAATCACCCTATACTGACAAACTGGATTTGTCTGCCTTCTTTGGCTTCTCGGCTCCTTCAGCATTTGGAGGTCATTTTACATATACAATTTTTTCAGGGAACAATTATAGAATGAGTTGGAAGTGTTCTCTTCTATTTGTTGGAAGAGTTTGTGAAGGGTTGGTATTAATTCTTTATTATTTCAATATTTGGTAGAATTCACCAGTGAAGCCATTTGGTTCTGGGCTTTTCTTTGTGGGGAATTTTAAAGTTACTAATTTGATCCCGTTTTATTTCTTTTCAAATTTTTTATATCTTCTTGAGTCAGTTTTGGTACTTTATGTCTTTCTAGGAAATTGTTTCATCTAAATTATCTATCTGTTGGCATACTGTTGTTCATAGTATTTGCTTGAAATCCTTTTCATTTATGTATGGTCAGTAGTGATTTCCCCTCTTTCATTTCTTATTTTAATAATTTAAGTCCCCTCTCCTTTATTCCTTGTCAATCTAGCTAAAGTTTTATCAATTCTGTTGATCTTTCCAAAGAACCAATTTGTGGTTTTGCTAATTTTCTCTATTGTTTTTCTATTTTCTTTCTTTCTTTCTTTCTTTTTTTTGAGATGAAGTCTCGCTCTTGTCCCCCAGGCTGGAGTGCAATTGTGCGATCTCAGCTCACTGCAACCTCCGCCTTCCAGGTTCAAGCAATTCTCCTGCTTCAGCCTCCTGAGTAGCTGGGATTACAGGCGCCTGCCACCACGCCTGGCTAATTTTTGTATTATTAGTAGAGACGGGGGTTCACCATGTTGACCAGGCTGGTCTCGAACTCCTGACCTCAGGTGATCCACCCGCCTCGGCCTCCCAAAGTGCTGGGATTACAGGCTTGAGCCACTGTGCCCGGCCTGTTTTTCTATTTTCTATTTCATTTATTTCTGCTCTAATCATCATTATTTCCTTCCTTTTGCTTACTTTGAGTTTAGTTTGCTCTTCTGTTTCTAGTTTCCTAAAGAGGTTAGTTACTGATTTGAAATTTTTTCTCGTTTTCAAATTTTTTTAACTTTTTTTTTTTTTTTTTTTTCTGAGACAGAGATTTGCTCTTGTTGTCCAGGCTGGAGTGCAACAGTGCTATTTCCACTCACTGCAACCTCCGCCTCCCGGGTTCAAGCGATTCTCCTGCCTCAGCCTCCCGAGTAGCTGAGATTACAGGCGCCTGCCACCATGCCCGGCTAATTTTTTTGTATTTTTAGTAGAGATGGGGTTTTGCCATGTTGGGCAGGCTGGTCTCAAACTCCTGACCTCAGGTGATCTGCCCGCCTCAGCCTCCCAAAGCTCTGGGATTATAGGCGTGAGCCACTGCGCCTGGCCATTTTTTTTTTAAATATAAACATTTACAGCTATAAATTTTCCTTCTTTTTCACTGCTTTAGCTGGATCTCATAATTTTGGTATGTTGTGTTTTTGTTTACATTCGTCTCAAAGTATTTTCTAATTTTCCTTGCAATATCTTCTTTAACTTACTGATTATTTAAGGATGTGTTGTTTAATTTCTCTATGTTTGTGAATTTTCAAAAGTTAGCTCTGTTATTGATTTCTAATTTAATTATATTGTGGTTAGAGAATATTATTTGTATGCCTTCAGTCCTTTTAAATCTACTGAGGCTTGTTTTATTTATTTTATTTTATTTTGAGGTGGAGTTTCGCTCTTATTGCCCAGGCTGGAGTGCAATGGAGCGATCTCGGCTCACTGCAACCTCCACCTCCCAGGTACAAGCGATTCTCCTGCCTCAGCCTCCCAAGTAGCTGGGATTAAAGGCATGTGCCACCACGCCCGGCTAATTTTGTATTTTTACTAGAGATGGGGTTTCTACATGTTGGTCAGGCTGGTCTTGAACTCCCAACCTCAGGTGATCCGCATGCCTCGGCCTCCCAAAGTGCTGGGATTACAGGCGTGAGCCACTGCGCATGTTGAGGCTTGTTTTATGATCCATTCTGGAGACTCTAACATATGATCCATTCTGGAGAATCTTCCATGTGCAATTTAGAAGAATCTGTAGCATTATGTTGTTGAGTGTTATTTGATGTCTGTTAGGTTTAGTAGGTTTATAGTGTTTCCCAAGTCGTCTATATCCTTATTGATTTTCTGCCTAATTGCTTGAAACTTGTAATTTTGAGGATTGCTTGAGTCAGATTCTATCTCTGTTGCCCAGGGTGGAGTGCAGTGGCGCAATCATAGCTCACTGTAACCTGGAACTCCTGGGCTCAAGTGATCTTCCCCTCTGCCCCAACAGCCTCCTGAGAAGCTAGGATTACAGGCATGCACCACTGCACCTGGCTAATACAATTATCATTTGTGTAAATTTAAAATTTATTCATACAACAATGCACAGGCTTCAGTAACACATACTACATTAGTTATCTATAGCTGCTTCCAAATTACCCCCAAACTTAAGCAGCAATAAACATTTATTATCTTCTATGGCTTCTATAAGTCAGGAATTCTACGGGCAAGAGCAATTTAGCTGGGTGATCTTGGCTCAGGGTCTCTCATGGGTTGCACTCAAACCGACAGCCAGGGCTGCAGTCATCTGGAGGTCCAACTGGAACTGGAGGATCCATTTCTGAGGTGGCTCACTCCCACGGTTGGCAAGTCGTGGTGGCTGTCAGTGAGAGGCCTCAGTTCCTCACAACATGGGCCTCTCCACAGGGCTGCTTGGATATCCTCAAGATAGCAGCTGGCTTCCCCCAGAGTGAGCGATCCAAGAGGGAGCAAGGGGGTAACTGCACTGTTTTTATTTTTTATTTTTTTTTGAGACAGTCTCACTTTGTCGCCCAGGCAGGAGTGCAGTGGCACGATCTCGGCCTACTGCAACCTCTACCTCCTGGGTTCAAGCGACTCCTGCCTCAACCTCCCGAGTATCTGGGACTATAGGCATGCATCACCATACCTGGATAATTTTTGGGGTTTTTTTTGTTGTTGTTTGTTTTTTAAGATGGAGTTTCGCTCTTCTGCCCAGTCTGGAGTGAAGTGGCGTGATCTCAGCTCATTGCAACCTCCGCCCCCGGGTTCAAGCAATTCTTCTGCCTCAGCCTCCCATGTAACTGGGATTATAGGCACCTGCCACCACACCTGGCTAATTTTTGTATTTTTAGTTGAGACAGGGTTTCGCCATGTTGGCCAGGCTAGTTTCGAACTCCTGACCTCAGGTGATCCGCCCACCTCGGCCTCCCAAAGAGCTGGGATTACAGGCGTGAGCCACCGCGCCCGGCCTGATGCACATCTTTTCCATCTCCTTTCTATATGTTCACATAAGCACATAAAACTTTACATTTCTATTTTTTATTTTTTGGTGTATTTTTTTACGTGGCTGGGGTCTTACTATATATATTGATCTACAACTAGCTTTTTTCACAACTGTGTGTTTTGAAGAGTTTTTCATGTCATTTAACAAAGGGCTGTCATTATTTTTATTACTGTACATTATTTCATAGTATGGAGATGCCAAAATTTATTTAACGACTTCCCTACTGATGGACATGCAGGTTGTTTCTACTAACCTACCTACCTTTCTTTCTTTCTTTCTTTGCTTCCTTCCTTCCTTCCTTCCTTCCTTCTTTTTTCAAGACCGTGTCTTGCTCTGTCGCCCAGGCTGGAGTGCAGTGGCACGATCTTGGCTCACTACAAGCTCCACCTCCCAGGTTCACGCCATTGTCCTGCCTCAGCCCCCTGAGTAGCTGGGACCACAGGCACCCACCACCACGCCCGGCTAATTTTTTTGTATTTTTAGTAGAGATGGGGTTTCACCCATCTTAGCCAGGATGGTCTCAGTCTCCTGACCTCGTGATCTGCCCATCTCAGCCTCCCAAAGTGCTGGGATTACAGGTGTGAGCCACTGCACCCGGCCCTTCCTTCCTTCCTTTCCTTTCCTTTTTTTTTTTTTTTTTTTTTTTTTTTTGAGATGGAGTCTCGCTCTGTCGCCCAGGCTGGAGCCCAGGCAATCTCGGCTCACTGCAACCTCTGCCTCCCGGGTTCAAGCAATTCTCCTGCCTCAGCCTCCCGCGTAGCTGGGACTACAGGCACGTGGCACCACACCCAGCTAAATTTTTGTATTTTTAGTAGAGACGGGGTTTCACCAAGTTGGCCAGGATGGTCTCCGTCTCTTGACCTCATGATCTACCTGCCTCTGCCTCCCAAAGTGCTGGGATTACAGGCGTGAGCCACCGCGCCCGGCCTCTTTTTCCCTTTCTCTGTGGTGGGCTGCATATCTTTCTCACTGTACATCCACCTTTTTACTTTCTCCTTACTTATTTGATCTCCCCTGAGGTTCGAGAATGGGGGACAAGGGACATCAGGCTGGATTCTGCTACAGGCAGAGGTCCCTGGAAGACAGCAGGGGCTGCTGTGGCAGATTCGCGATTCCTTCAGCCCGCCTTCTCCTAACTAGCTCTTGGAGGATGTGATGCAACTCAGGAACACCATGGTCCTTGCCTTCAGAGACCTCATGTCTAGCATGGGGACAGACGCGTGAGTAACCCATGGGAGGCAGGCTAGCATCAGGTGAGGGGTAGCCTTCAAAGTCCAACTGACGGCTTGGATTTTCATCCCACCCCACCACTTAACGGATGTTTGACATTGGGCAAGTTATTTCACCTCCCAGTATACCAGTTCCCACACATCTAAACTGAGTCTCTTTTTTTCTTAAAAGGTTGCTCTGAGAAATAAATAAGATGCTTAGCACAGTGCCTGGCACACAGTAATCTATGAATATCGAACTTCTGGGAAAGTAGCCAGGCTGTGATTGTACCAATCAAACAGGGACCCATGGGCTCTGGGCCTGCGGGATTTGAAGTCTTCACGAATGAAAGGCGGAGACCTGAAGGATGGGCAGTACCTCCTGGCAGAGCTGGAGGAAGGTATTCTGGGGCGTGGAAAGGTAAATTTAAACACAGAGTGGAAATCGGAGGCATATTTGGGGCATGGCAAATCGCGCTCTGTGGCTGGAAGGTCACGTTCATTGGCAAGGGGAGGAAAGGCCTTTCAGGGATGTATGCAGGCAGCCTTCTGGCACAGACGAAGGAGGTTCAAGTCCTCTCCATGGACGTGAGCTCCAAAGCGGAAGTCACAGGTCCACCATAGGACCACTGTTGAGGTTAGGCATGGCCGGAAAGGAGCTCCCTTCCCCACTATCCTCCTGCCTTCTTCAGCATGGGCCTCCTCCCAAGGCTTGGCCACTCCCAGCATCCAGCACCCCCACCTCTCAGCTGGGTTAGGAGGCAGGCGGAGGCTTTTCGCGGGGGCTGTGCCTGGTGGGCGGTTTTCCCAGAGCAGGGAGCAAACAGGACTGAGTTGGCGCCAGCTTCCTCGGATGTAGATATTGCTGGCTGGATGACCAGCCACAGCCAGCTAGCTTGAGTCCAAGGCCTCCTCAGGCACTGTGTTTCTGCTCTGTGGGCTGCAGCCCCAGTGGGGTGGCATGTCACAGAGGAAGGCCAGAGGGCCACCAGCCATGCCAGGGGTGGGGCATAGCCAGACTCAGGCCAAAGCACGGTTGCTGCCAGGCGCTGACAGGAAGAGGAGCCGCCTCAGCAGGACAAGGCAGGACCCGTGGGAAGAAAGAAGCTGGAGCAACCAGAGATGGAGCAGAGCTACCCCTGGCCCTCGAGGGACCAGGGCTGGGGGCCTGGCTCTTGGCAGGGTAAGGAAATCCTGCACCTGCAGAGGGGTCCAGGGGAGGAAGGGGTTGGAAGGTGGGGAGATGTCACCTCTGATGGTACAGCCTCACTCAGTATTACCATTCCTGCCCAAGAGAGGGGACACTGGCCCCTTAGACTCCAAGGCATCATGCTTTGGGTAGTTGGGATAGATCAGAGCTGGTCTTAACCAGAGTGCAGCTCAGAGAGCTGCACTAACTCACTTCTCTTGAGGAAACTGAGGCCGGGAAGAGGGATGTGAATTTCCCAAGGTCACTGAGCAGCAGCCAGTGGTAGGACTGGGACTTCAGCCTGTGTGCTTTGACCCCTGGTTCTGTGTCTTTCCTCTTTCCCACAGCAGCCTCGTCGTCTCAGGACCTGGCTAGGTCAAGGGTCCGCCCTCCCAAACAGGGTGTAGCTCTGAACTCCCCCTGGCCCCAGCACACCCTGATAAGCAGGATTCAGATTGGGCATGGGACAGGACAAAGGCTCTGAGGAGGCATGAGTGGAGTAGTAGAGAGAACACAGGACTCTGGGTTCTGAGCCAAGCTCTGCCATCCTGCAGCCATCTGACCCCTGGCCAGGCCTTCCCCCAACTTCCTCAGCTGTGAAACGCGGCAGGGCTGCAGATGACGTAGGTGGGCAGAGGCCCTCTGGTGCCTACTGCTAGACACCCTTCTACTCTGGTGGGAGACCTTGTGCTCAAACGCTCTCAGAAGTCAGGGCAGTTGGGAGTCCAGGTCACACACACTCACTGGGGCCCTCTGTGCAGAGCGAGGCCAGTCCTGAGAATGCCGCGCGGGAGCGGAGCCGGGTCAGGACGCTGCGCCAGGCCTTCTTGGCCTTGCAGGCTGCTCTGCCTGCCGTGCCGCCCGACACCAAGCTCTCCAAGTTGGACGTGCTGGTGCTCGCCGCCAGCTACATAGCCCACCTCACCCGCACACTCGGCCACGAGTTGCCTGGCCCTGCCTGGCCGCCCTTCCTGCGTGGACTCCGCTACTTGCACCCTCTCAAGGTAAGTCACAAGCCCTGGGACTTGAGAGGCGGATCTTAATGCCCAGGGCCTTGGAGAAAGGGATTGGAATGAGGGGGGACATTGGACTTGGGCCCCCTGCCCTGTGCAGAACTGACGTCGGAGCCAATTTCTCCTGCTGTCTCAGAGGGAGAGGAGCCAAGGCTGACCCTTGGGGCTGCGCTGACCCTGGGTTTCTCATGGGAGTGTGGCTGGAAATGGCTTCATGGGAATGCACCTCCTTGAAGAGGAGGGAAAGACTCTGGGGTTCTTAGAGTCACAGGGAAAAATGTAGCAGGTTCCAAGTCTGGGGCCTGGGAAAGGAAATTATACCAAGGAGAGTCCTAGATCCCCATGCAGCTTCAGCCCATTGTGCCTGCCTTGGTGCTTTCTAGGCTTCTGTTGCAAGAGAGGTCTGTCCTCCAGGAGAACAACGGTCTGAGGGACCGTCATTCTAGAAGCAACCAAGCTGGGGGAGTTAGCAGGCAGCAGTACAGGGAAGGCGCGCACCACTTGCCAGACTGCAATCTAGCTTTTCTCAACCTCAGTTTTATTACACGTAAAATAGAAGCTAACATGAGCCTTACTTCTCTTCCAGAGTACAAAATGGAAAGTCTAATGAACATTAATCATCTTTGCAATAACAGCTAACAGTTGAGTGCTAAAGATAGGCCAGGAGCTGGGTTAAGTACGTTAGTGTATTTTTGTCTTTTAATCCATGCAAAAACCAAATGAGGATTACTTTACAGATGAGGAAACTGAAGCTTAGGGAGGTTATGAGGCTGAAAGCGGTTTGAACTCAGGGGTGTCTGACTTCAGACCCTAAGCTCATAGCCACTAAACAGTCTCCAGGGACAGCGCCATAAGGAGCTGGTTGAAGAGTGCACTGTGTTAAAAAGGAAG
Source organism: Homo sapiens (assembly GCF_000001405.40). Classification (NCBI taxonomy): domain Eukaryota; kingdom Metazoa; phylum Chordata; class Mammalia; order Primates; family Hominidae; genus Homo; species Homo sapiens. The sequence goes on from NC_000002.12 coordinate 27,151,266, forward strand.
GGTCATCTTTGCCCTCTGAGGATAACATTGCAGTGGTATCAACTTTTTTATTTTATTATTTATTTATATATGTACTATTATTTTTTTGAGACAGAGTTTCACTCTGTCGCCCAGGCTGGAGTGCAGTGGCGCAATCTTGGCTCACTGCAACCTCCACCTCCCGGTTCAAGTGATTCTCCTCCCTCAGCCTCCCGAGTAGGTGGGATTATAGGCGTGCACCACCATGCCCGGCTAATTTTTCTATTTTTAGTAGAGATAGGGTTTCACCACTTTGGCCAGGTTGGTCTCAAACTCCCGACCTCAGATGATCCACCCACTACGGCCTCCCAAAGTGCTGGGATTACAGGTGTGAGCCACCACACCCAACTATTTATTTATTTACTTATTGTTGAGACAGGGTCTCACTGTCGCCCATGCTGGAGTGCAGTAGCGCAATCATAGCTTACTGTACCCTCAAACTCCTGGGCTCAAGGAATCCTCCCACCTCAGCTTCCCCAGTAGCTGGGACTACAGCCTTATGCCACCACACCTGGCTTTTTTTTTTCTTTTTTTTTTTGTAGAGACGGGGTCTCACTTTGTTCCACAGGCTTGTCTCAAACTCTAAGCTCAAGTGATCCTCTCACCTCTCAACTTTATTTTTATGATACTTTTCACCACCTCTTTCCCCTAAATGTCATAGTTCTGAAATGTCTTAAAACTTGGTTTTTTTCTTCAATGCAAATGTAGCTAAAATGTATAAATTTGAGACTAAGTGGGGAACTCTGAAATGTCAGTGGTGGTGCAGGGTCCTGGGATGATATAGTAGTTTCCTTCGCTGTAAAATAGTGACCAAGGCAAGGCCCTTGCTTGTAGTAGGTGATCAACAGCTATGCTGAAGAATGAACCAATGAGGGCCCGGTTAGGTCCAGCACTCCAGCACATCCACAGGGTGGGGCAGTTGGCCAGGAAGCAGCTCCCTCAGCTCCCAGGTGGAGAGGTTGTGAACAGGAGGGCGACCTCAGGGCAATCAACCTGGTGTATTCTGGGACTGCTCATGCTCCTGCTGGAAAGATGGGCAAACCTTGGAGGACCCAGCTTGGAGTTTTTCCTGGCTCTGCTGCTCTGCCCATTGCTCAGCCTCTGGCTGTTGCCAGCTCTGCCCAGGCCAGCTGATCTTCTGTCCACCTCCCTCCCAACAGAGCGCTGCTCTTCTTGGGGCCCTCTCCCTCCTCAGATGGCTCCTCCTGTGTCTCTCATCCAGGCTCTGGGTGATCAGGAGAATGTGTGGGGCTGTACATGATGATGACCCTGATCAGAGCAGTGATGGCTGGGGAAGGTGTCAGGGAGGGATGCTGGAGAAGGCTGGGTTTTGGGTGTCAAGGATCCTGGACCACGAAGGGCTGCAATAGCAGCATTTCTCACTTCCCAATCTGTGTCTTGCAGAAGTGGCCGATGCGATCTCGTCTCTATGCTGGAGGCCTGGGGTACTCCGATCTTGACTCCACCACAGCCAGCACCCCCAGCCAAAGAACAAGAGATGCAGAGGTGGGGTCCCAAGTCCCTGGAGAGGCAGATGCTCTCCTTTCCACCACACCACTCTCACCAGCTCTTGGTGACAAATAATTATCACACTCGCCCTTTTCTCCTAGACTGTGACTCATGCTTATGGGCCTGGATTTTCTACCAGCCCCCAGATTCTCAGCCATCAGACTTGACTCAGACTCAGCTCCCAAGTTCCAGCATGCAGACCAAGAGAAGCAGTAGCACTTCTGTGATGGACAGTACCTAGAGGGGCACAGGTTGGAGAGCCTCCTCCTTGGTCCCCAGGAGGGGACTTCCCCATGGCTCTTCTGTGACAGCTACTGGGAAGTGGGAGAGAAAGAGGTATAATTGGGCTCAAAGTTGAGGTAGGGAACCACCCTAGCTTTCTTCCCCTAAGGTTTCTACAAACCCTCTGCAGATAGCAAAAAGGCAGGTGCAGAGGGAGGGGCCTGGGATGGCACCAGCCCCAGGTGCTGATGGGAAAGCCAGGTGGCCGGATAGGCTCCTGGTAGCTCCAAGTGTAAACAGATCTGGGCTGGGTCACACAGCCAGAGGGGAAACTGAAGAAGGAAATGTGCTTTCTAACTGCATCATGAGATGCTTACCTGATGTTAGAGAGATAGTGAGGAATTCAGGATTCCTCCCTCTGTAGTATGGGCCTTTCCAGAAGCTGCCCCTCACCACTACATTTTCTCTCCCTCTCGGCTCCTGCACTCTTCCACTCTTTTCTTTTCTTTTCTTTTCTTTTCGTTTCTTCTTCTTTTTATGTAGAGATGGGGGTCTTGATATGTTGCCCAGGCTGGCCTCGAACCCCTGGCCTCAAGTGATCCTCCCACCTCAGCCTCCTAAAGTGCTGGGATTACAGGCATGAGCCACCATGCCCAACCCCACTGTTTTCTTGACATGAGTTATATCTACAGGTTAAGCCATACATCTTGCATTGCTTACATTCCAGTTTCCAGAGAAACTTTTAGATAGTCCCAGATGCCTAGTTTGAGATCTTAACCAGAAGCAATTCTACCTTAATTGAACCAAGCAGCAACTTATGGCCTTAAATATGAAGGATATTGACAGAATCAATTACATCCTTGAAGGACCTTAAGAGAAGATCAGGTATATAGGGGGTGATCATTACAGTCTTCTCTTTCCATTATGTTAGAAACCTGCCCTCAAGCAAAAACAAGATAGGCCTGCCTTCAACTGCTCAACCACTCAATTGGCTCCTTGTAAAATTTGTGTTCGAGGCTTCCCTGGCTCTGGAGTTATTTCTATAGTCTATTAGCTCCCTAGGGCCGGCTCCGCCTCATGGAGATCGTCCTTGGGGGCTTTCTCTAAGTCCTACCATGGGGTGCCAGAAATGTGATATAGCTTCGGTGAAACTCATCTCTGGCCCTAAAGAAATAACTTGAGGACTAATCATAGAATCTACACACACTGAAAATAACTTTCCAGATCGGATGTAGCCTCAAACCTGGCACCTGAAGTCCAGATGGAACAAATTACCTTTCGGTTAAATTTCAGCCCTTCAGAGTGGGAGGGGACGGGCATGACCAACTAGAGTCCCAACAAGGTTATCCTTAGACACACACCATTGTTGTTATCATGAATGTAAGTGAGCTCTGGGCAGGCTGGGAATGGTTGGGGTCTGGGTTCTGGCATGACAGGACCCTGTACCTCCACAGGGCTGGCCAGGGCAGAGCTGAAATAGGGCTGGGGGTGCGACTGAGCCAGTTGTGGTAGAGGTAGAAAAAGAGACACAGAACATCCCAGCCCCGAGCTGCCTGGGATGTGGGAGAACAGCTGGAATGTGGATGGGAGCCATGGGGAGAAGGCCTCGGCCAAGGCTGAACTCGTAAATCTGCCTTGAACCACGTCTCTGCAGAGGGACCCTGAAGAGCTTGTGCAGAGCTGATGTGGGCAGCTGGACAGGGCCAGGCAGGGGCAGAGGCCAGGTGTGGGAGGGCATGAGCACAGTGTTCTTCACAAGACCATAAAAGTCCAGCTAGAATGTACTATTTTTAAAGCCAAACAGCAGTATCTTCCTGGTTGAGTTCACGGGAGTGCTAGGAAGAGAAGCAGATACATTTCCTCCTCAGTTGGTGGCACACTTTCCTGGGGATGAAGGGAAATTGGCTTGGGGTGTGTGTCGGGGTCCTCTGGATAGCATGGAGCTTCTCCTGATAATAGAGTAGACTTTGGGTTGGAGCTTGCCCCACCCTGTCCTGCTCAGACTCAGGCCTTTGCCTAGTAACATTAGAGCCCTCAGGGGTGACCGCATGGCCCTGGTGTAGACAAGGAGGGCACAGGAAGGATGACGCAGGTGGAGGGCTGCAGGAGGCAGGTCCCATCGCTACAAGTTTCTCAGGGTGTCTTGGGCCCTTTCCAGGCAAAGCTGTTCTCCTTTGTGCCCAGGACAGTCGAGGGGGGTGGGGCAGAGGCCATCTCCTCCAGCCACAGAGACCCAGCCCCGTCAGGCCAGCAAGCAAAGGGGCCTGGCAGGGGGCAGGGTGAGCCAAGGGAAGGCCTAGGGGATGGATGGGAATAACCAGAGGATGGACTGGGCCCTCCCTCCCTGACAAGCACAGTAATGCCCTTGAGACATGTCAGGACTTGGATGCGTGAATGAACCAGAAGTAACCCGCTTTGTCTCTGCAATGAGAAAGAAAAACACAGCCAGGCTCAGTGGCTCATGCCTGTAATCCCAGCACTTTGGGGAGTCGAGGCGGGCGGATCATGAGGTCAGGAGTTCGAGACCAGCCTCGCCAACATGATGAAACCCCTTCTTTACTAAAAATACAAAAATTAGCCAGATGTCGTAGTGGGCACCTGTAATCCTAGCTACTTGGGAGGCTGAGGCAGGAGAATTGCTTGAACCTAGGAGGCGGAGGTTGCAGTGAGCCAAGATCACGCCACTGCACTCCAGCCTGGGCGACAGAGCAAGACCCCATCTCGGGAAAAAAAAATGAAAGAAAAAAAAAGAAAAGAAAAGAAATAAAAGAAAATATGGATGAAAACATTTGAGCATGGATGACAAATGACACTAGGGTGGCCTGGCTCAGGAGTTGGAGGCTCAGCTGCTCCATAGGGGATTGGCCTGGCCTACCTGGTCTTCCTGCACCACCTGCCCCATCCCCAGGACTTGGGATTGGGATGGAGGTGGAGGTGGGGAACAAGACTTCCCTGCTGGCTCCCTCCACAGAGCATGTGCTTTCTGAGGAACAGGATGGCAGGGTGGAGGCTTAGATGGGGCTGTGGGGCTGGGTGTGGTGGCTGATGCCTGTAATCCCAGCACTTTGGGAGGCCGGGGTCGGGGGTGGATCATCTGAGGTCAGGAGTTCAAGACCAGCCTGACCAACATGGTGAAACCCTGTCTCTACTAAAAATACGAAATTAGCTGGGTGTGGTGGCACATGCCTATAACCCCAGCTACTTGGGAGGCTGAGGCAGGAGAATTGCTTGATCCCAGGAGGTGGAGTTTGCAGTGAGCTGAGATTGTGCCATTGCACTCCAGCCTGGGCAACAAGAGTAAAACTCCGTCTAAAAAAAAAAAAAAAATGCGGCTGTGGGAGAAGCAGAGCTGGCCCAGTGATTTCTTTTTTTTTGTTTTTTGAGACAGAGTCTCACTCTGTCACCGAGGCTGGAGCGCAGTGGCGTGATCTCGGCTCACTGCAAGCTCCGCCTCCTGGGTTCACGCGATTCTCCTGCCTCAGCCTCCCGAGCAGCTGGGACTACAGGCACCCGCCAACACGCCCGGCTAATTTTTTTTTTTTTTTGTATTTTTAGTAGAGACGGGGTTTCACCATGTTAGCCAGGATGGTCTTGATCTCCTGACCTCGTGATCCGCCCGCCTCGGCCTCCCAAAGTGCTGGGATTACAGGCATGAGCCACCGCACCCGGCTGGCCCAGTGATTTCTAAGTAATACAGTGGACACTGGATTTTACCAAATTGGGAACTAGAGAAGTAGAGGATCTAGCCTTCTCTGAGACTCCTTTTCTCTTCCTCTGGGAGGAGCCTGGCTAGGGTGAGTCAGATGGCACTGTCCTCTCCCTTTTGTGGCATGAGCCCTAAACCCAGGGCCCCTAAAAGCTTATTCTATTCTAGATCAAGGTAGGCAAACTATGGCCAGTGGGCCAAACCCAGCCCCCCATGTATTTTTGTAAATAAAGTTTTATTGGAACACATCCACACCCATGTGTTTATGTGTTATTTATGGCTGCCTTCCTGATAGCATTGCAGAGTCAAATAGCTGCACTAGAGACTGAAAAGCCTAAAATATTTACTCTGTGGTCCTTAACAGAAGTTTGCTAACTCCTGCTCCAGCTCAGAGGTATTCAAAGTATGGTCTAGGAACCCTGGGGGTCTCCGAGGCCCTTAAGGTGGTCTAAGTAGCCAAAACTACTTTGATAGTTTTATATTTTTAGGCCACACATGGTGGCTCGCACCTGTAATCCAGCACTTCGGAAGGTGGAGGCAGGTGGATCTCTTGAGACCAGGAATTGAAAACCAGCCTGGGCAACGTGACAAAACCCCGTCTCTACTAAAAATACAAAAATTGGCCAGGTGTGGTGGCAGCTGTAATCCCAGCTACTTGGGAGGGTGAGGCATGAGAATCGCTTGAACCTGGGAGGCAGAGGTTACAGTGAGCCAAGATGGCACAACTGCACTCTAGCCTGGGTGACAGAGTGAGACTCCGTCCCAAAAAAACAAAACAAGGTGGGCATGGTGGCTCACGCCTGTAATCCCAGCACTTTGGGAGGCTGAGGAGGGTGGATCATTTGAGGTCAGGAGTTTGAGCCCAGCCTGGGCAATAGGTGAATCCCCATCTCTACCAAAAATACAGAAAAATTAGCTGGGTGTGGTGGCAGGCGTCTGTAGTTCCAGCTACTCAGGAGGCTGAAGCAGGAGAATCGCTTGAACCTCGGAGGTGAAGGTTGCAATGAGCCGAGATCATACCACTGCACTCCAGCCTAGGCGATAGAGCAAGACTCCATCTCAAAAAAATAAAAACAAAACAAAACAAAAAATTAGCTGGGCTTGGATGTGTACACATGTAGTCCCAGCTACTCGAGAAGCTGAGATGGGAGAATCACCTGAGCCTGGGAAGTGGAGGCTGTAGTGAACTGTGTTCTTACCACTTCTCACCACTGCACTCCAGCTTGGGCAACAGGAGTGAGACTGTCTCAAACAAACAAACAAACAAACAAAAAAGAAGTTGTCTATATTTTTTACTCTTACTCTTTCAAGAGTGTAGTGTAATTTTCCAGGAGCCACATGACATGTGATATTGCAACAAATGGAATGAAGAAGCAGATAAGAGACTCCAGCTGTCTATTACAACAGACATTAAAGATATTTTCAAAAAATGTAAAGCACTGCCATTCTCACTAAATATTTTCTTCTTATATGGAAAATAATAATATTGCATAAAAATGTTATATATGTTCACATAAAATGGGTTAATCAATTAGTGTTATTTTAAAATAAATATATTTTTTAAATTCTCTATTTTAATTTATAATGTGATGGTTATGGATAGATATAACCCACATAAGCAAAAACTCTTCGGGGTCCTACTTTTTTTAAGAATGTAAAGGGTTCCTGAGAACAAAAATTACGAGAACATCAACTCTAGAATAGCTTGTCGAGGAAAGCCCCTGGCCTGCCCGCCGGCTCATCCCCGTACTGAGGCAGCTCTACTCCACCCAGAGACAGAGGACTTGGGTTGAGGGGGAGCATCTGGCACAGTGAAGACAGAGGTGGGGTCCTGAGTCAATATCACAGGAAGGTCTCCTGGAGGACACAGGTGGGGCTGCTTCCCTGATGGGCTGTGCGGGCCAGAGTCATGGCGTCCTTGTCTCTGCTGTACCGCAGCACACATTCCTCAGCTTCTCAGGAGACAAGCCAGTGATCACGAGGTGGTCCTGCAAACACAGAGCTGGTGAAGGTAAACGACAGGTGGTGATGGGATTCATGCTGAAAAGTTCCCCACTAGAAGGGAGCCCAGCAAGGCTGGGTTTGGGAGGGAGAGCAGGCGGAAGAGGGTGAGAGCACAGCACAGTGGGGAGCAGAGGGTGGGCTGGGGAGGGGAGCTGACCGGCCCAGGCCGGGGCTGAGCTCCTCTGAGCCCTGAGATCCTTCTGCCCACCAAGCCAGTGCAGTCCTGTGGGTAGAACCTGAGACAGCCGTGTGGGACACATGCTTAGCTGATCCTGAGAGAGAGGGGCACTGGTGGAAGGGGGAGAGAAAAGGAGTAGAAGGGAACCTGAAGAGTCAGTGGCATCTGTGGAGAACCGCAGGGAGGGGTCACTTGGACAGCAGGTACTACCTGGCCGTAGCTCCTGCAGTGGAGCCGCTTCTGACAGGACAACAGATGGAGGGACAGGAGCTTCAGCAACACTGGGTAAATCGTCGCAGGGTTCAGGGACCGGCCTCACATTCCCCCGAAGGCAGAGGTGCTTCTGAGTCTCTGGGTGGAACCATCCACAGCAGCGGGCCCCATGTCCTCCCTTGGGCCCCAGAGGCCCCAGCCCCCACCCACCTCCTACATCCCAGCAGAAAAGCCTGACAGCTACGGACACCCAAGAGCTCAGAGGGCAGGAGCCTTTCCCCCCAGGCGGTAGAGTCCCTTAGGGCCCTCTTCCAGCCCATCGGTGGGTGGTCGTCTGCACTGCAATCCCACACCCTCACCCACACCCTCATTGGTGAGCTGATTCCAGGTCCTCCGACCCCCACAGGGCTGCCTGTCAGCTGCAGCTCCACAGGCCCTGGCTGGCAAGTGGCCTCCAAAAAACTGCCACCTTCCCAGCTTTGTGGATGGTCAGCCCCAGGGTGAGTATCTCTGGCCTCTTAGTAAACTCTGGGTTTCCTACTTTCCCTACTTCCCCCACCTCTGTGCTCCAGGCTGCCTTGGGAATGTGGTAGGCGCCTCCCCTCTCCCGGGTTCTACCTCCCACACTTTGCCAAAGGAGAGAAAGTTTGATCCCCAACACAGCAAGAGGGTCAGCTGCTGAGCAGCAAAACAGAGGGCAAGGGCCCACTCCAGGGTTCAGAGTAACCCCAGGAGATACTCAAAAGAGGTAGGAACTGAGCACTAAGATGTTGGGGAGAGAAGAGGGAACTAAGAGCCTCTGCCATTAAATACGCCAGAAGTTACGTAGGGCCAAAGACAATTGCTTTTTCTTTAACCTCGGAAAATTTACCAAAAAGTATGATCCAGTAATCAGAATAGAAACAACCCTCCACATTGATGATGGTGGAAGCAGAAAAACAAGTTGAGTAAATCGAGTCGGCCTAAATCACTTGACAGTTGTATCATGCTTTAGCGCCTCAGCAGCTCTGGGTCCAGGCCCAGTTGGATGAAAATGGATTGTATTAGTCTGTACTCATGCTGCTAATAAAGACATACCCGAGACTGGGTAATTTAATAAGGAAAGAGGTTTAATTGACTCACAGTTCCACAGGGCCGGGAAGACCTCGGGAAACTTACAACCATGTCGGAAGGGGAAGCAAACACGTCCTTCTTCACATGGTGGCAACAAGGAAAAGTGCAGAGCAAAAGCGGGAAAGCCCCTTATAAAACCATCAGCTCTCAGGAGAACTCACTCACTATCACAAGAACAGCCTGAGGGTAAACACCTCCATGATTAAATTACCTCCTGCTGGATCCCTCCCATGACACGAGGGGATTATGGGAACTACAATTGAGGATGATATTTGGGTGGGGACACAGCAAAACCACGTCACAGATTCTGTGTCACATATCAGCTAACTGCATGATGCTGGCTGGGCCCCTGGAGCTCCGGGGTCCTTGAGAAGGAACAGGTACATTCTTTTTTTTTTTTTTTTTGAGATGGAGTTTCTCTCTTGTCGCCCAGGCTGGACTGCAATGGCGCAATCTCGGCTCACTGCAACCTCTGCCTCCCAGGTTCCAGCAATTCTCCTGCCTTAACCTCCTGAGTAGCTGGGATTACAGGTGCCCACCACCATGCCTGGCTAATTCTTTTCTTTTTTTTTTTTTTTCGAGATGGAGTTTTGCTCTTGTTGCCCAGGCACAATCTCGGCTCACCACAACCTCTGCCTCACAGGTTCAAGCGATTCTCCTACCTCAGCCTCTGAGTAGCTGGGATTACAGAGATGAGCCACCACGCCTGGCTAACTTTTTGTATTTTTAGTAGAGACAGGGTTTTACCATGTTGGCCAAGCTGGTCTTGAGCTCCTGACCTCAGGTGACCCACCTGCCTCAGCCTCCCAAAGTGCTGGGATTACAGGTGTGAGCCACTGCGTCAGGCCAAATTTTTGTATTTTTGGTAGAGACAGGGTTTCACCATGTTGGCCAGGCTGGTCTCAAACTCCTGACCTCATGATCCGCCCCTCTCAGCCTCCCAGAGTGCTGGGATTACAGGCGTGAGCCACTGCACCTGGCCCTTTTTTTCTTTTTTCTTTTTTTTTTTTTAAGAGATGGGGGTCTCACTATGTTGCCCAGGCTAGCTTAAAACTCCTAGGCTCAAGCAATTCTCCTGCCTTCCAAAAACAGAGTAGCTGAGACTATAGGCCTGTGCCACCATGCTTGGCTTAATGTTGAAATATCCTCTTTGGCTTCTTTATGAGAACCTTTTCTGCTTAAATTTACATCCCAAGGCATGGAGATCATCTAGTCTGAAGGAACTCATAGCTCTTCCTAAATTGCAACATTGTGAATAAAAAGTCTTAATAGAAGAGTATTGGTAAGGTTACTCAGTTCTCTCAAAGCCTTTATTTTTCCCAATTTGACATAGTTCTGGGCGATGGTCGCATCACCTAATGCAATAATTGCCATTCTTTCTGTGGAGCTTTCATTCAATTTGTGCTCAGTTATGGCAACCATGAAATCTATAGGTGTTTCCCCAGAGACAGTCTAAGCAGACATGAAGAAACAGAGCAGGAAAGAGAACACTCAGGGTTTGTAAAGCACACTTGACCAACTGCTGGAGTAAAAATGACTTTTGCACAAATGACATTTCATTTTTGTGTGTGTTTTTATTTTTTTATTTTTTTTGGTTTTGAGACATGGTCTCCCTTTGTTGCCCAGGCTGGAGTGGAGTGGCATTATCTCAGCCTACTGCAGCCTTGACCTCCCAGGCTCAAGTGATACTCCCACTTCCTCAGCCTCCTGAGTAGCTGGGACTACAGGTGTGTGCCACCACTCCTGCCTATTTTTTTTTTCAATTTTTTGTAGAAACGGGGTCTAACTATGTTGCCTAGGCTGGTCTCAAACTCTAAGACTCAAGTGATCCTCCCTCCTCAGCTCCCAAAGTGCTGAGATTACAGGCGTGAGCCACCACTCCTGGCCTACAAATGACATTTTTTTTTTGAAATATTGAGGAAAAAATTGAGGCAAAATTAATACAAGTAGAGAGTTTATTTGGGCCAAGTTTGAGGACTGCAACCTGGGACATTGGATTCAAATTGCCCTGAATATACACTCCCGGGTTGCCTTCCTCAAACTTGGGCCCACAAAACTCTCTACTTACGTAATTTTGCCTCCATTTTTTTCCTTTGGATCAACATATCTGACATAGCAGGATTTGGAGTGACTCAGCCCTGACCACCCGGTGTTTCTCTCTGGAAGTAGTGCTCAGCATCTGCACAAATCCACTGTGTCCTCTGTCTTCAGAAGTCCTATCCGGCGTTGCAGGTGAGTTCTGAATCTGGACCTCCCTTTCTTTGGTTAAGGTCCAGATTTTAATTTGGGCCGTTTCTCTTTTGACTCTCTCAGAATGAAGGTCTCTGTCTCTGACTTTCCTATTGAAGTCAGGGGATCAGGATTTTGTTTTCTGCCAACACAGAGAACGGCGGTTTGCTTTCGTTTTCAGCTGAGGTCTTGTTGCATTGTGACCTTTCATTCTGGAAATCAGACTTGTTTCACCTATGACCAACCTCTCTTGAAGTTATTTTTCCTAATTAATGAGAGTGAATGGATTCTTCACTCTAAAGATGAAAGGCTCTTGCTCCCTCTGACCTGTTAGAGTGCTCTAAATAATTAGAGACGTGGTGGAGGTGTTGGACCCTTGTCCATGATATCCAGTGGCCTTACAGGGTTTCCTCTCTCAGAGGAACATCTGCAATCTCTTGCTCTGCCAGCAAATGCACGCGAAGCCTGGTCACCTAGCACTAGTGAACCCTCTGTGACCCTCCAGGGACTCCGAGTTTCTGAGACACATAAAAGAGTGGACCCAACTCATTGGTGACATATTGAGGAGCTACACTCACAAGCAGCACATTTGGAACCGCAACATTCCCCAGAGCTTAGTCCTGAGTGATTCAGGTGTCTAAATTATGGGCGTTAAAGCAAACTAAATATGGCCTGAGAAGGACTCCATACTTCTATATTTGAGTCCTTGTGGACGAACTGTAACCTAGTAATAGGAAGACAGGGTGGTTCACGGTGGCTCATACCTGTAATCCCAGCACTTTGGGAGGCCAAGGCGGGTGGATCATTTGAGGTCAGGAATTTGAGACCAGCGTGGCCAACACGGTGAGACCCCATATCTACTAAAAGTACAAAAATTAGCCAGGTGTGGTGGTGCACACCTGTAATCCCAGCTACTTGGGAGGCTGAGGCAGGAGAATCGCTTGAGCCTGGGAGGCGGAAGTTGTGGTGAGCCAAGATCATGTCACTGCACTCCAGTCTGGGTGACAGAGTAAGACCCTGTCTCAAAAAAAAAAAAAAAAATGCAGACAAGATTGAAAATCTAATTTAGGAGTATGCACCTGTAACAATAGCTGAGTCTTGGCCAATCCCAGCAGCCATACTTCAACCACTCATAGATTGCTAAGTGTTCAAACTGTGTTCAAATAAGGTAAACACCAACCTGCAACCAATGCAGCTGTTTCTGTACCTCACTGCCGATTTCTGTATGCCACTTCCCTTTTTTTGTCTATAAATTTGTTCTGGCCATGAGGCATCCCTGGAGTCTCTCTGAATCTGCTGTGATTCTGGGGTCTGCCTGATTCACAAATCGTTCCTTGCTCAATTAATCTCCTTTAAATTTAATTCGGCTGAAGTTTTTTTTTTAACACGGGTAAAAAATCATCCAACTCCAAAGACTCTCTAAGGAGGCAGCCTTTCTTGGAGACACCAACTGGGTTTATGTACAACACATAATGGAGTGTCCTTTTGTAAATATCTAGGAAAACGGACCCGCATAACCCAGAATAGTCATAAGCAACAGTGGTCAAAATGGGGGTCCTTTGAAATGCCTAAAATAATTCATTTGCATGCACTATTGGAAAAAACTGGTTTTAAAACCATGCAAATTGAATGAGAGACCTACTTTCTCTTTATCCTGGATGAAATCTAATAATAATAGATTTGAAAAAAAAGTTTCAAGAGCTCTGTGGTCAGAAGTCAGCCTAACTAGAAGTTTGTGAACGAAAAATAAAATCCTAAGTCCCCCAACTGACTGAACAGACCCCCTATTGGCCAAGGGGACCCCAGAGAAACCTGAAAAACTGAATTCCCAGCCACAAAGGTGTTGAGGAATAGAGTCAAACCCTGTGAAATATTTGAAGAGATTTATTCTGAGCCAAATATGAGTGACCAATGGCCTGTGACACAGCCCTCAGAAGATCCTCAGAATATGGTGGTTGGGCCACAGCTTGGCTTTATACATTTTAGGGAGACATAAGACATCACTTGGCTGGGCACGGTGGCTCACACCTGTAATCCCAGCACTTTGGGAGGCCGACATGGGTGGATCATGAGGTCAGGAGATCGAGACCATCCTGGCTGACATGGTGAAACCCCGTCTCTACTAAAAAATACAAAAATTAACCAGGCATGATGGCGGGCACCTGTAGTCCCAGCTACTCGGGAGGCTGAGGCAGGAGAATGGCGTGAACCCAGGAGGTGGAGGTTGCAGTGAGCCGAGATAGCACCACTGCACTCCAGCCTGGGCGACAGAGCGAGACTCTGCCTCAAAAAAAAAAAAAAAAAAAAAAGACATCACTCAATACATGTAAGATGTACATTGGTTCAGTCCAGAAAGGCAGGGCAACTAGAAGCTGGTGGAGGGCTTCTAGGTCTTAGGTAGATTTAAAGATTTTTTGATTGGCAATTGGTTGAAAGAGTTAAGTTACTGTCTAAAGACTTAGAAATGTCCAGGTTAAGATAAGGGGTTGTAGAGACCAAGGTTTTATGATACAGGTGAAGCCTCCAGGTCTCAGGCTTCAGAGAGAATAGATTGTAAATGTTCTTATCAGACTTAAAGAGTCTGTTCTATCAGTAAATCCAAAAGGGAGGAGGGTATCATGAGGCATGTCTGAACCCCCTTCCCATCATGGCCTGAACTAGTGTTTCAGGTTAACTTTGGAATGCCCTTTAGGGACAGGAGGAGTCCATTCAGATGACTGGGGGTTTAGACTTTTATTTTTGGTTTACAGTGGGAAGTGAGGTCCGACATGTCTTGTTATACCCCTCCTCCCTTTTGGTGTTTAGGCACAACTGACAAGCATTGTGGTTAAAACAGGGATTATAAGACTGGCAAAAGAGAGTATCTGTGGCAATAAGATACCAAATTTTGAACAACAATCTGTTAGGCACAAACAGTTTCTCTTCAAAAGTTTCAGTTCCTGGTTCTTTGTTCTATTCTGAAAGTAATGTTACCTGTCCATCTATCAGCCCTCCCTATCTCTGTTGCACCCAAACACGTCCAAGCATGTCCCATCACCTATGTGCCCGTCCTTCCCATCAAGTGCCCACCCTTGCCTCCTTCGATGATGTCAATACTAGCCAATCGGGATTAGCTTAGATCGTGCGGTCTGACTCCAGCCAACCGGGGGAGGACCCAGGAACAGGGTCTGCATTAGGGATAAAAATGCCTGCTCTCCTTTGTTCAGTGTGCTCCCTTGCCTCTGCCTTGCATGCAGGTAGCACCCTTCTATAGAAGTAAAATTTTGCCTTGCAGAGAAGTTATCTGAGTGCTCATTTCCTTTGCAAGCTTTATTTCCTGAGCTTTATTTCCAACAAATCTAATAACCAGGCAGAATTGGGGGAAAAATAGAATTTTCAGAAATTAAAAATATGATATTTTAATTAAAGACTCAATGAATGATTAGAAACTGCTAGAGGCCATGAAAGGCAAGGGTTAAATCATACCCAACAAACCATAAAATCTCATTAACTGGGTTTTTAAAATTAACGCAGTATACTGTGGCTTACTTTCCAACCTGACTGTGGCTTAGCACCACATGGCAGATTACAGGCCCTGAAGGAAATAAAAATATTTTACTCCAAAATGTATTTGTTTGGCATACTTTGAAATGGTCCTGCAAAGCTGTCTTTCGTGGGGGAAGTTTGTATCTGTAGAGAATCTCCACCACTGCAACCAGGTCTTCCTTTCTAGGCCTTTCCAAGATCTAGGAGAGATTAACTGAGAGGCTGACACTTTAAAAAATCTGAAAAGAGACATTTACCATCTATTCTTTCTGAGGGCTGGTCCCTGTGAGGCTTCATCTCCATAATAAGGGCCTTGGCACCCGTGACTCCCTTTTTTATTTGTCATTTTTGTTGTTGTTGTTTTTAGACAGAGTCTCACTGTGTTGCCCAAGCTAGAGTGCAGCGGCATGATCTTGGCTCACTGCAAACTCCACCTTTCAGGTTCAAGGGATTGTTGTGCCTCAGCCTCCCAAGTAGCTGGGATTACAGGCGTGCACCACCAGGCCCGGCTAATTTTTGTATTTTTAGTAGAGAGGGGGTTTCACCGTGTTGGCGAAGCTGGTCTTGAACTCCTGACCTCAAATGATCCACCCATGTCAACCTCCAAAAGTGCTGGGATTACAGGTGTGAGCCACCATGCTGCCCTGACCCTCTTACCTTAACACAAGCATTCTTTTCTACTGAATTCAAGTCTTTAAGCAATAGCTTAACTCTCTCAACCATCAACTAAAGAATTTCTAAAACCCACCCATGACTTGCAAGCTCCCACTTCAAGATGTCCCAACTTTTCAGGCCAAACCAATGTATACCTTTTATGTATTGATTTATATCTTTGCCTGTAACTCCTGTCCCTCTAAAATGTGTAAAACCAAAGTGTAACCTGACTCCTCAGGCACACTTTCTCAGGACCTCTTGAGACTATTCCCCTGGCCATGGTCACTCATATGGGCTCAGAATAAACTTCTTTAATATATTTCACAGAGTTTGGTTTTTCTGTTTACAAGCCAATACCCAGGCTATATGTGAGGCTGGGGGCTCTTTGCTTTTTCTCTTTTGGATTCTGTTTCTGGGAATTTTTTTTAGTTGATTGACACCTCTTACAAAAAAAAAAGTTTGATCCCTCTGCTTTCTGGTTGGCATGATTTTGCTGATGAAAATGTAAAACTTAATTGGCTTTTTAGAAAGCTTAAAACCTCCCCAAATTGGCTCCTCTAAGATTTGTTCTTCCATTTCCTGCCACTTCTGGTCCTCTATAACCCACACTCTATAGCTCAACACTGTACAGCCAATCATTAATCAATGTTATTTCTGTAAACCAATGAGAATTCCTGACAAACAACTTTGTATCAGCCCACTCCTTGTCCTCTTTTTTGCCTTTAAAAACCTGCTTGTAACAAAGGCCCAAGCCTCCACCCATTTCTGACACTATGGTAGACTAGATGTTCAGAGAAACTCTCCTGGTACAGAAACTCAAAATGATGGCTAAAATCGTAAAAACATATTCTTAAAAGTATTGCTTGCCTGGCAGAAAAGTAAGGGAAAAGAATAAGAGAAAGAATAAGGAAGCATGTAGCAAAAAATGGTAAGCCAGCACTCAAGTCAGTGCTGCCTTTGCAATATCTGCAAATTCCTGGTGCCCAAGGCCTGGGTCTTACGGGCCACACCTGGGGACAGGAGACAACACCTAGGGCCCATTCGAAATGGGAAGTTGGATCAGAGACTCTGTCACAAAGTTGGGATCCTCAAAAGGCAACACCCTCAGTAAGGATGTTTTGTTGTGGGGGAGGCCAAAATTTTAAAGTGGTCACGATTTAGTAGTGTTTCCTGGCACAAGCAGGTGCAAACCTTCTCTGGAGGAACACGTTTTAAATTCATGCAGTGGCCAGGCACGGCCACTCACACCTGTAATTCCAGCACTTTGGGAGGCTGAAACAGACCGATGGCTTGAGCCCAGGAGTCTAAGACCAGCCTGGGCAACATGGTGAAACCCCACCTCTACAAGAAATACAAAAATTAGCTGGGTGTGGTGGCACATGCCTGTAGTCCCAGCTACCCAGGGGGCTGAGGTGGGATGACTGCTTGAGCCCCGGGGGTTGAGACTGCAGTGACCCATGATCAGGCCACTGCACTCCAGTCTGGGTGATAGAGCG
Organism: Homo sapiens; assembly: GCF_000001405.40. Classification (NCBI taxonomy): domain Eukaryota; kingdom Metazoa; phylum Chordata; class Mammalia; order Primates; family Hominidae; genus Homo; species Homo sapiens. The sequence goes on from NC_000002.12 coordinate 27,168,133, forward strand.
AGACCTTGACTCAATAAAAATAAGTAATAAATAAATCCATGCTTTGAAGGATTCCCATGGATACAATTCCAACAACCTTGAGCTTACAACAAACAATTTTAAAAGTCAGAAGGAGGCATGTCACTCTAAATGAGCAATAGCCGTACCATTGAACTCTAGAATCACACTTGAGAGGATTGCAAATCATGTAATGTTTAGGCATAGAATATACAGTAAAGATGTTTAATAGGTTTAAGGAAAGAAAGAGAATTCTGAAAAGACAATGCAGGAATAAGAGGCTGTCAAAAATAACCAGGCAGAATTGGGAAAAAATAGAATTTCTAGAAATTAAAAATATGATATTTTAATTAGAGACTCAGTGGATGATTAGAAACTGCTAGAAATAGGTCTAGCAGCCTGGGCACAGTGGCTCATGCCTATAATCCCAGCACTTTGGGAGGCTGAGGAGGGCGGGTCAGTTGAGGTCAGGAATTCGAGCCCAGCCTGGGCAATATAGTGAAACCCCATCTCTACCAAAAATACAAAAAAATTAGCCGGGCATAGTGGCACACGCCTGTCGTCCCAGCTATTCTGGAGGCTCAGGCAGGAGAATCACTTGAGCCTAGGAAACGGAAGTTGCAGTTAGCCAAGATCATGCCACTGCACTCCAGCCTGGGCGACAGAGGGAGACTCCGTCTCAAAAAAAAAAAAGAAAAGAAAAAGAAAAAGAAATAGATCTAGCAAATCAGAAGACGGATCTTTAGAAATTAACCAGATTTCAGTTCGTAGGGAGAAAGAGATGGAAAATATAAAAAGAAGAATAGATTATAAGAGAAGACCTTCATGTCCTTGGAATAGGGAAATATTTTTTTAGAGAAGACACAAAAAGCATTAACTCTAAAGGAAAAGAGTGAGAAATTATACTACATAAAGTTAGGAGCACCTATTCATCACAAGATACCGTTGAGAGAGTGAAAAAGACAAGTTCACAGACTGGGAGAAGATACTATTTGCCATATAACTCACATATTTAAAAGGGCTTCTATCAAGAATGTATTAAAAATCCCCACAGAGCAATAAGACAGAGACTGATAATTCAGTAGTAAATGGCTAAATGGGTTAGAAACACAGTTTTTTTGTTTTTGTTTTTGTTTTTTTAAAGAGACAGAGTCTCTCTGCGTCACTCAGGTTGGAGTGCAGTGGCACCATCATAGGTCACTGCAACCTCGACCTCCTGGGCTCAAGGGATCCTCCTGCCTCAGTCTCCCAAAGTGCAGGGATTACAGGCGGGAGCCACCTCATCTGGCCTTGGTCAGGCACTTTCTAAAGAGGATATCCAAATGGCTGAACATGCTCAACTTCATTAGTTATTAGAAAAATGCAAATTGAAATCTTGAGATACTACAACACACCCACCAGAATGGTTAATATCTGTATCTGTTAAATCCAGGGTATAAACACACCTAAGGCCGGGCGCTTTGGCTCACGCCTGTAATCCCAGCATTTTGGGAGGCCTAGGCGGGCGGATCACCTGAGGTCAGGAGTTCTAGATCAGCCTGGCCAACATGGAGAAACCCCGTCTCTACTAAAAATACAAAAAAATAAGCCGGGCGTGGTGGTGCACGCCTGTAGTCCCAGCTACTCAGGAGGTTGAGGCAGGAGAATCGCTTGAGCCTGGGAGGCAGAGGTTGCAGTGAGCTGAGATTGCGCCACTGCACTCCAACCTGGGCGACAGAGTGAGACTCCGTCTCAAAAAAAAAAAAAAAAAAAAAAGATATGCATGAGAGCGCTCATAACAGCGTTATTTGTAATAGCCCCAAGCTGGAACCCTGCTTTTGTTTCCTATGGCGCTGGGGCTGAGGTTCTGCAAACCACTTTCTGCTTTGCCAGCTGGCACTTCGCTGGGCTCCACCAATAGAGGGTGCTAGAGGAAGCCCGCAAGACGGGAGGAGGGAGCGGGGATTTGCTTCTTGCAGTTTACTTCTTGCGCCCCCCTATCAAGGTGGCAACAGCTCTTTAACCCGGCAGCCCCACTTGGTTTAAGTTTCCAACTTTTTCCCCATTCTCAGAACCACCCTTGGCTGGGCGCGGTGGCTAGCGCCTGTAATCCCGGCACTTTGGGAGGCTGAGGCGGGTGGATCACTTGAGGTCAGGAGTTGGAGACCAGCCTGGAGACCACAACGAAACCCTGTCTCTACTAAAAATACAAAAATAAGCAGGACGTGGTGACACGTGCCTGTCATCCCAGCTACTCAGGAAACTGAGGCAGGAGAATCGCTTGAACCTGGGAGGCAGAGGTCGCAGTGAGCCAAGATTGTACCAAAGCACTCCAACCTGGGCAACAGAGCGAAACTCCGTCTCAATTAAAAAAAAAAAAAAAGTACAAGCCTTTAGCCTGCCCCTTCAAAGATGCCAGCACCAGTTATACAGCACTCTGTGTTCTGAAGCCTGAGTTCCACCTCGGCAGGGCTCCTCCAAGCTTCTAGGTTCCAGTAACTCCCACCTTTTTCTTTCATTAACTCCACCGCTCTACGTCCTTCAGTTGCCACCTCTCTGTTCCTTGGAATTTGTCTTTTGCCTTTGCAGTCCTTACCGTTAAATTCCCTCTGTTATAATAACTGGTGTGGTTTTTATGTTCCTAATTGGACCCTGACTCATACAACAGCCCAGATAAGATTCTTTTGGCGTCTGACCTGTTTCTGGACTACATACAGTATTACTTCCCTTTTCTTATTTTTATTTTTATTTTGAGAGGGGGGTCTCGCTCTGTCACCCAGGCTGGAGTGTAGTGGCACAATCAGCTCACTGCAGCCTCAAACTCCTAAACTCAAGGGATCCTCCCACCTCAGCCTCCCAAGTAGCTGGTACTACAGGTGCGTGCCACCATGCCCAGTTATTTCCCTTTTAAGTAGGGAATCTGAGGGCTGCAATAGTTTGCAGATCCTCACAGCCTTGCTTGGTTGATTGTCCTTGGCATCTTGGCATGGTTACAGAAACAAATCAGAGCCAAAGAAAGCTGAGAGTCTTGGGTGTGACTGTTTGCCATGGGACAGCTAGGGTCAGGCCAATCTTTATGAACATGGTACTTGCTGGACTTTTTTTTCTCTCCTGTGAATGTGCATGGGAACAGTAGTGTCTTTCCTATAGTCTTCATGACCCTCCCCAGTTGCTGGAGCAACTGAACTTGAAAATTTCCAGCTCCAGAGGCACTTTTTTTTTTTTTTTTTTTTTGAGACGAGGTGTTGCTCTGTTGCCCCCAAGGCACAATCACAGCTCACTGCAGACTTAACCTCCCAGGCTCAAGTGATCCTCCCACGTTAGTCTCCTGAGTAGCTGGAACTACAGGGGCACCACCATGCCCAGTTGATTTTTTATTTTTTAATTTTTTTGTAGAGACGGAATCTCACTATATTGCTTAGGCTGGTCTCGAACTCCTAGGCTCAAGGGATCCTCCCTCCTCGGTCTCCCAACGTGTTGGGACTACAGGCGTGAGCCAATGCACCTGGCTCAGAGGCACCTTGTTGTTACTATGGCACCATTGTGTCTGTGTGCGTTTAATGACATCATTGCAAGGGCTGATTCTTTAACCAGATTGTAAACATGTGTGCAAAAGTTGCCCCGCAAATTAACAGGAAAGTTGTGCAATTTGCAAGCAGAGCAGCATGACCTAAGGCCTTGATGGGCCATGATCTTTCAGTGTCCTTCCCCTGGCAGGTGGGTAGCAAACATTATGAATTATCATAAACCCAGTCCATCCTCCCCACCCAAAAAAAACGCCTCGTGATATATAATTTTCCTAACCGGGTTAAGTACATGATTCCTACCATTTAAATCTATGTCTAAATAAAGCAGAAGAACACAAACTGCTTATTTTAAAATCTATTTTTATTTATTCTTAGAGCCAGAATATTTTCTTAAGATTTTCGTAGTGTATAAATTCTAGATTTTGCCAGGCTTTTGGTTCTGCCCAGAGGCACTAGATTGGGCAGAAATGGATAGAAATTTCCTCTGTCTCCACTCAGATGCATGTTTTTGTCACCCCAGTTGTATTCAGTGAGCTTGTTTTCTGATTTATTTTTTTAAGTGGGACCCATTCATTTCCATTAAGGCCCTCATGAATACTATCCAGGCTGGGGCTTGGCTGTGCCTATCTTGGGGCAGAGTAGTCTCTATTATCCAGAAGATCTCCTGGCTTGATGTCTTATCTTTGCATTGTCAAATGTATTCAGCAGGCATTCATGTTATACCTGCGACAGCGGTACATCATGTCACTTCCAGATCTGGACCAGATAACTCCTGGGATCCTGGTTGTGTAGCCTGGCTATCATATCTCCCTCAGGAAAAACTAGTGTTATCAGCTCCCTTTCTTGCTTCTTTTAAGGACCTACATGGATTTTTCTGAAGTGCCACTGCACAATGCTTCCTCTTTCCAATACCTGTTAGATCTGAAAGGGGAATTGAGTCTCCCGTGGGTGCTGGGGTATGGCTGAGGGGTAGGTGTGGTCTGCAGGGCACCACGTGCAGCTTGTCTGTAGGCTCCATTAAAGACCAGTCAGGGCTGAGCACAGTGGCTCACGCCTGTAATCCCAGCACTTTGGGAGGCCGAGGCGGGCAGATCGGCGGGCAGATCACAAGATCAGGCATTCGAGACCAGCCTGGCCAACATGGTGAAATGTCGTCTCTACTAAAAATACAAAAATTAGCCAAGCGTGGTGGCACGTGCCTGTAGCCCCAGCTATTCGGGAAGCTGAGGCAGGAGAATCACTTGAAACTGGAAGGCAGAAGTTGCAGTGAGCCAAGATCACGCCACTACACTCCAGCCTGGGTGAAAGAGTGAAACTCCAACTCAAAAAAAAAACAAAAAAACACCAGTCAGATGTGCAGGGATGGGAAGATGCTGGCCTGCATGTACTCTTCATCCCCTACCTTTCCTGACATCCTCACAGGAGCCATGGAACAGCCAGAGTGAACATTCTAGCGGTGCCTCAGGCCACGCCTTCTCTCAAGATCCATATGCCACTTTCTTTTTTATGCCCCTGAGCATGAACGCAAGGATCACAGTGGAGACAACTTTTCCTCTCCTGGAAGTCTGGGACAAAGGCTGCAAGCCTCAGGTTCCCTGAGGGAACTCACCTGGCAGGCCTCCGTGGAGTCCCCTGAGAGGGAACTCCAAGGGGCTGCCCCACCACTCGCTGTATCTTGGGAGGGTCCCCCATGCTGCCACACAGACAAGAGGAGGGACTGCTCTGACTGATTCATGAGCTCCCCAGTGCATCCACTCAGGGAGACCCCTTCCCCAGACAGTGGAGGGTCATGACGGGGCAGCTTTTTAGCTGCGTCCCACCAGGATGAAACATTCATCTTCCAATTCCTGGTGTTTCACCCTGGTCCAAGAGACCCTGGCTGCCTGTTCTGAATGGGAATATCCCATCGTTAGTAAGTTAGAGAAAACTACAATCCATTTAAATGACTCAATAATCTGCAGAAGGAAAACTAAACCGAACAACTCAAACAAGTGGTTTTTAATGAGACCGAACCAAAAGAAGTAACGGAAATGTTTTTTAGCATCAACACAAAACTGTACAAGAAATTAACACACTATAAGATTTTCCTCCCCTTCTAGCAATAATATCTCAATGTCCTCTCCCAGCTAAGTCCGTGTGGTTTGAGAGGGACGAACTGCACCCCAGATCTCGATTTAGACACGACCCCATTTATGCCAAGGAGAGTCAAACCCAGGATTTTGTGGGCGTGGAAGTAAGTGTCCATCCGACTCCTCATTGCTGCTTTTCAATGATTTCTTCTCCCTTCTATTTCAAAAACACCAGGGGCTTTAGAGTTTGTACCCTCTGGTTTGTCCCCCAATATCCTTTGTTGGTGGCAACTTCTACTAAATTCTGAGTCATTCCCTGTCTTTCATTGAAGATTTTATCATCTGACTGTCTTTCTCTCTATCCTATTCTTGTCATCATTTTTTTGGTTTCAACACTCAAATGGATGATTTATCCAACATCTTGGCATCTTAGATTCTGACCTCCTCAAATGCAATTTTCTATTTTCTCTCTTCAGCCACCCATTTCTATGGTCATGCCCTTAACCTTGTCAAAACCAATAATACACCATTCTCAGAATCTCTATTTTAAGCATTCTGATTGGATATTGTGATCCCTATGTCTTATCCTTCCATCTCAGTCTCATGCCTGCAGTCCAGTATTTCTTCAGTCTTCTTGAGACCTTTAATTCATTTGCTTCCTTCTGTCTTACTAACCATCTTCCCTCGTGTCCTTACTTCCTCTTTATTCATCCCAGATTCTATGTTCATTGTTGTAATTGCTCCTTTGCAAATATCCTTATCCCTTACCCCTCCTCTCCCACTGTTTTTGCGTTGCAACATCCCGACCCTGCACGGTCTTCCCACTCTACACTTCATCTGAACACTGCTGGAAATGAATACACGATTGTGTTCACTGGCCTGCCTCAAAATTCTCAACCAAAAATCTCAAATAGGCACTCAACACTCTGTGGCAATCTTCCCTGATATGTTTTCTTTCTTACATTCTAACACATTTATTTCTCGCCTTCTTTTTTCTCCTCAGAACCTCTCAGCTTGCCATCACCACGTACTTCATGACAAAAACAAGAGCAATCAGGCAGTAATCCCCTGTTTTCAGACAGGCTGCAGTGAGCTGTGGTCGCACAAGGCTGCAGTGAGCTATGGTGGCGCCAGGCTGCAGTGAGCTATGATTTCACCAAGGTGCAATGTGGCTGTTACCACAGCTACCCATTTCCCAGCTGGCGTGTCCAGGCTCACCATGGGTGATGCGCCCCTTCCCACCAGAGGCCTGTTCTTTTCTGGGGCCAGAATCCCACCCCCTCTTGCTCTTCCAAAGGGCCTCACTCCTAAAATTATTCCCTCTGCCTTCTGCATCCTCAGCTTCTCGCCCTCCACTGGATCATTTCTCTCACGTATATTAGCATGCAAACACTCTCTAGCATGGCATCTCCCATTAAACAAAACTCCTGACCCCACTTCCCCACCTTAACTACCACCACATTTCCCTGGCCTGCTGCATAGCAAAAAAATTTAAGTGCTCTCTATTATTGCTGTCTCCATTGTCTTTCCTCACTCACTCACTCCAATCAAGAGCCCATCTCCAGCTCACTCCTACAACAGCACTGGTAAGGTTATTGGTGGCCTCCCTTTTGCCAAAGCTGATGTCGATTTCTGTGGTCTTGTGTCGCTATGTTTTTGTGTTTTGGGCATCATTTGATTTCACTACTCCATCTTTTCTCTTCTTTCCTTTTTTTTTTTTTCTTTTGAGAGACAGGACCTTACTCTGTCGCCCAGGCTGGAGTGCAGTGGTGTGATCATAGCTCAGTACAGCCTGGCAGCTCACTCCTGGCCTCAAGCAATCCTTCCACTTTGGCCTCTGGCATTACTCCCAGCTCCATCCTTCTTGAAACACTTCTCTAGGTTTCCTAATCAACTCAGTCTTCTTCCTGGCTCCTTCTCCCCGTTCTACTTCTTTTTTTTGTTTGTCTTTGTTTTGAGATGGAGTTTCGCTCTTGTTGCCCAGGCTGGAGTGCAATGGTGCGATCTCGGCTCACTGAAACGTCCGCCTTCCGGGTTCAAGGGATTCTCCTGCCTCAGCGTCCCGAGTAGCTGGGATTACAGGCGTGTGCCACCACGCCTGGCTAATTTTGTGTTTTTAATAGAGATGGGGTTTCTCCATGTTGGTCAGGCTGGTCTCGAACTCCCGACCTCAGGTGATCCACCAGCCTTGGCCTCCAAAAGTGTTGTGACTACAGGCATGAGCCACCACACCCAGCCCTCCCTGTTCTACTTCTAAACCTAAAAATAGTGTGAAGAAAATCAGCAAGGCAAAAATCACTATCAGCATAATCAAAAGGCAAGTGTCAGACTGGACAACAGTATTTGAGCTCAGGTCATAAACATAGGGATAATCTCCCTAATATTTAAAGAGCTCCTAGAAATCATTAAGAAAAAGACCAAAACCCCATAGAAAAATGGAGAAAGAATATAAACAGACAGATCTCAGGAAGGGAATACAAATGGCCAGTTAGCAACACAAAGAGAGAGGCCAGCTCATTAATAATAAAGGGAAGTGTAGATTAAAGCTACACTGAAATACTGTCTCATAGCCAGGCACAGTGGCTCACACCTGTAATTCTCAGCACATTTGGAGGCTGAGACGGGTGGATCACTTGAGGTCAGGAGTTCAAGACCAGCCTGGCGACCACGACGAAACCCTGTCTTTACTAAAAATACAAAAATTAGCTGGGCACAGTGGCGCGCACCTGCAGCCCCAGCTACTTGGGAGGCTGAGGCAGGAGAATCACTTGAACCTGGGAGGTGGAGGTTGCAGTGAGTTGCGATCATGCCACCGAACTCCAGCCTGGGTGACAGAGTGAGACTCCTTCTAAAAACAAAACAAAACAAAACAAAACAAAAAAAACCCATCTCACCTATCATATGGATAAAAACTCAAAGTTTGACAACATGCTCTATGGGAAACAGTTCTTTCTCATATTTTGCTGTGACAGTAATGTGAAAAGAGATTTTAAATGGATAAGACGAAAAGTACAAAGCAGTGTGTATTTTATGCTACCAGATCATACATCATTTCTGTTTTATTTGCATAAGATACACACACACACACACACACACACACACACACACACAAAACAATAAAAAGCAGTTACTTGTTCTAGTGGAAACTGGAGCAGATGGGGGATAAGGTGAAAGTGAGTCTTGTTTTTTTTTTTTTTTTTTTGAGATGAGGTCTTACTATGTTGCCCAGGCTAGAGTGCAGTGGCATTATCACAGCTCACTGCAGCCTTGAACTCCTGGGCTCAAGCAGTCCTTCTGTCTCACCCTCCCAAGTAGCTGGGACTACAGGCGCCACACACCACCAAGAGAGTGAATCTTTCAAGTGTATGCCTTTTTAGGTTATTTGACTTGTAAACTATATGAAATGTATAATTTTTTTTAGTTTTTTAATTTTTTTTTTTTTTTTTTTTGAGACAGAGTCTCGTCCTGTCACCTAGGCTGGAGTGCAGTGATGCAATCTCGGCTCACTGCAACCTCTGCATCTCAGGTTCAAGCGATTCTCCTGACTCAGCCTCTTGAGTAGCTGGGACTACAGGCATGCACCACCATGCCCGGCTAATTTTTGTATTTTTAGTAGAGAGAGGGGTTCACCATGTTGGCCAGGCTGGTCTCAAACTCCTGACCTCAGGCGATCTGCCCACATCAGCCTTCCAAAGTGGTAGGATTACAGACATGAGCCACCACACCTGGCCAGTTTTTAAATTTTTTATCTTTATGAGACAGTCTCACTCTGTTGCACAGGCTGGAGTACAGTGGTGTGATCGCGGCTCACTGCAACCTCTGGCTCCTGGGCTCAAGTGATCCTCTCACCTCAGCCTCCTGTAGCCTCCCTCCTGTACCTGGGACTACAGGCACATGCCACCACACGCGGCTAATTTTTGTATTTTTTAGTAGAAACAGTGTTTCATCATGTTGCCCAGGCTGGCCTTGAACTCCTGGGCTCAGCAATCCGCCCGCCTCAGCTCCCCAAAGTGCTGAGATTACAGGCATGAACAACCGCACCTGGCCAATTTTTTTTTTGTTTTGTTTAATGAGAAACAAACAAATATGAGTTCAAAGAGTTTCCTGGGGAAGTTTTTCTGTACAATAGTTCAAAGAACACAGAGAAATGCGTTTCATCTTCAAAGGAAGTTAGGGCATTATTATAAGCAGGGTGTGTAGATCCTGAATTGGACTTTAGTCCTGTACCATTCGGAGGTGATCATGATGGCCTGGATGGATGTTTATGATGACAGGCACCAGCATCACCAAGCATGCATTGATCTATTTGAATACTTTCCACCAGATCCATGACTTGGCCATGTACTGATTCCGATTTTATCAGCACGTCAGCTAACACCGTTATCTGCTTTAATCACAACTTTTACCAGAAGCATTGGCATCAGTTGGACGCTTCTAGCTGCTAGGCAGAACATACTCAAACCAAATAGCTTACACAATAAGGACAGCCATCATTTCACATAAGATGATGTCTGGAGGCCAGGTGGTCCACGATTGGCTCAGAGCCTTGATGAAGTCATCACAGATCCAGGTCCACCGATGAATTTGTCTTTCTGCCTTGCTATCCTCAGCAGGTTGATGATGCTTTCACTTTGGGTTTCAAAATAGCTGTAGCAATTCCAGACAATATGTGAAGATATGACTTGATCCAGCAAAGGAGAACAGGAGAAAAGGGGGTGCTTCTTCTCATGCATCTGTTTTTATTGGAATAATATAGAAATAAAAACTTCCTGACGTAATTTTAAGACAAAAATATGCTATATAAGTAACTGTATTACTAATTTTTTTCTTCTTTTTTTGTTTTTTGAGACAGGGTATCCCTCTGTCACCCAGGTTGGAATGCAATAGTGTGATCTCAGCTCACTGCAGCCTCCACCTCCTGGGCTCAAGCAATCCTCCCATCTCAGCCTCCAGAGTAGCTGGGATTACAGGTGTGCGCCACTATGCCCAGCTGATTTTCAAATTTTTTTTTGTAGAAATGGAGTCTTGCTTGTTGCCCAGGCTGGTCTCAAACTCTTGATCTCAAGTTATCCACCCATCTCCACCTCTCAAAGTTCTGGGATTACAGGTGTGAGCTACCTGCCCGGCCTGTTTCTTAGTTCTAATAGTATTTTTGGTGTATTCTTTGGGATTTTCTATATACAAAATCATGTTGTATGCAAATGCAGGTGGTTTTACTTCTTCCTTTCCAATTTGGATGACTTCTATATATATTTTTCTTGCCTAATTGTTCTGGCTAGAACTGCCAGTACAAGGTTGAATAAAAGTGACAGCAATAGGCATCTTTGTTTTATTCCTGATCTTAGGGAGAAAACTTCAGTCTTTCATCATTAATTATAATAGTATTAACTGTGAGTTTTTCATAAGTGCCTTTCATCAGGTTGAGGAATGTCCCTTCTATTCTTAGTTTGTTGAGTGTTTTTATCATGAAAGGGTGTTGGATTTTGTAAAATGCTTTATCTGCATCTATTAAGATGATCATATGGTTTCACCCCTTCATTTCATTAATGTGGCATAGCACATTAATTGATTTGCATATGCTGAACCACAGTTGCAATCCTGGGATAAATCCCACTTAGTCATGGTGTAAAACCCTTTTTGTGTGCTGCTAGTGTTTTTTTGTTGTTTTTTGTTTTGTTTTGTTTGTTTTTAGAACCTGTGTTCAGCCAAGCTGCTAGTTTTTGTTTACTAATATTTTTGAATATTTTTGCACTGTATTCATAGGGGATGATGTTCTGTAGATTTCTTTTCTTGTGATGTCTTTGTCTGATTTGGGGCAGGGGGCAGGGAACTCACAAAGTGCCAAAAGGGGAACACCTTCAGATTTGTTTCTGTTGCCCTAAGTCATAGAAGCTGGTAAGAGTGTGATCAATATACAAGAATTCTTTTTTTGGTTTCATTTTTTTTCTTTTTTCTTTGTTTTGTTTTGTTTCGTTTTTGTTTTTTTTTTGAGACAGAATCTTGCTCTGTCACCCAGGCTGGAGTGTAGTGGTGTAATCATGGTTCACTGCAGCCTTGACCTCTTCTGCCCTAGCCTGGATAATTTTTTTGTTTAATTTCTAGTAGAGATGAGGTCTCACTATGTTGCCCAGGCTGGTCTCAAACTCCTGGGCTCAAGCAAACCTCCCACCTCGGCCTCACAAAGTGCTGGGATTACAGGCATGAGCCTCTTTACCCAGTCAGTACAAGGATTCTTATTTGAACGTTGGATATGACATCAAATGTCAATTTGGACAGCTTGAAAGACCCACAATTAACCACTGCTCAGTTTGAGAAGCTGAACCAACAAAGATAGTTATGCACAAAGGAACATTACATATGAAAAGAGGCAAAGTAGCTAAAAAAACAGAGTACTGTTTTTAAAAAGTATCCAAAAGTTTTGAAATGCACCCTTATGGCTACTGAGTCCTTGTATGTTCAATTGCAGCAATATTTTGTGTGTGTCCATATCCTGGCATGAGTGTCAATTTTGGAGAAAAACTAATTTGAAGAGAATTTTTTTTTTACATTGGAAAGGTGATTAAAGAGTATCTAGGCTGGGCTTCGTGGCTCACCCCTATAATCCCAGCACTTTGGGAGGCCCAGGCAGGTGAATGACCCGAGGTCAGGCATTCGAGACCAGCCTGCCCAACATGGTGAAACCCCATCTCTATTAAAAATACAAAATTTAACCAGGCATGGTGGCAGTTGCCTGTAATCCCAGCTACTTGGGAGGCTGAGGCAGGAGAATCGCTTGAACCCGGGAAATGGAGGTTGCAGTGAGCCGAGATCACTCCACTGCACTCCAGCCTGGGCGACAGTGATACTCTGTCTCAAAAAAAAAAAAAAAAAAAAAGTATCTAAAGTGCCAGAAAAAATAATCGGGCGCAATGGTTGTTTGGCAACCCTCATTCAGGATGTTACGACACATTTCCCAAATATTCTGCTAATGGGAATCTTCCTGGCAACACAAACAATGAGTTTATCTCATGCAAAATGTATGAACATGGTGGATGACCTGCGAGGCACAGAAGGGAATGGAGGTGAAAGAAAAATGCTCTCACTAAACATTTCCAGCATCAGAATTTAGTATCCTTTCTATCACTTAAAACATGTTCTGACCAAGCAAGTGACACCACATGATCAATGAAGGAATCCCAAATACGTGGCTTGCAAAATCAAAACAAGACCTTTAGACCAACCACAGTTAACTCTCTGATTTGTCTTTTGTACCCCCTGGACCAATCTGCAGATGCATTTCTAGTTTTCCATGATGCCTGAAAGAACCTAAAGATGCTAGTGGGCAGACATGAACTCAGCCACATCTGATGGCCACTCCCCAAGAACCATTTTTCCTACTTGGAAGAGCCAACTGTCTTTGCCTCAAGAACAGGCTTCTGTCAGGAAGTCATCCTGTGGGACACTGACTTTTTTCTTTTTTTTTTTTTTGAGACAGAGTCTCGCTCTTTCGCCCAGTCTGGAGTGCAGAGGTGTGATCTCAGCTCACAGCAACCTCCACCTCCCAGGTTCAAGCAATTCTCCTCCCTCAGCCTCCCAAGTAGCTGGGATTACAGGCGTGTTCCACCATGCCCAGCTAATCTGTATATTTCCAGTAGAGATGAGATTTCACCACGCTGACCAGGCTGGTCTCAGACTCCTGACCTCAGATGATCTGCCCGCCTCAGCCTCCCAAAGTGCTGGGATTACAGGCGTGACCCACCATGCCCGGCCTGACACTGACTTCTAATGGTGCTAAAAACTTGTCCCTATGTGTCCTAGGAACTTTGAATTGTTGCAACTGCTTGTCCAGTCCAGCCTTGCGAAAAGAAAGAGCTCGTGGCAACCTCATCTCCACAAGTGTGGAGCTTCATGCATGCCCCCGACCTTTAAAGAGTAATATACCTCTCCTGTCACAAAGATCCCTGTCTTCAAAAGATGTTTCAAGACCAGCACAGTGGCCGAGCATGGTGGCTAATGCCTATAATCTCAACACTTTGGGAGGCCAAGGTAGACGGATCACCTGAGGTCACGACTTCAAGAACAGCCTGACCAACATGGTGAAACCCTGTCCCTACTAAAAATACAAAAATTAACCAGGCATGATGGTGGGCACGTGTAATCCCAGCTCTCCAGAGGCTGAAGCAGGAGAATCATTTGAACTCAGGAGGCAGAGGTTGCAGTGAGCCGAGATCACGCCCTTGCACTCCAGTCTGGGTGACAGAATGAGACCGTCAAAAAAATACATATATTTTTCCCATTAAGCATTATTTTGTTTATCTATTTGCTTTGTTTCCAGCCTTGGCATGAATTTAAGTGCTACCTTGTCAGATACTCATTCTCTCTCCATGTTTACATCTGTTTCTGGACTTTCCCGTGTACTACTCATCTATCTGTTCTACCATATAGTAAGGCAAAGACCACCTCACTATTCTTCTATAATATGTGTCCATCTATTCTCAGACTTATTCTTCCATATAAGTCTTCAAAACATTTAGTTCAGTTCTCTCTCCCTCTCCCCAAAACCTGTTGGGTATTATTTGAAATGTTATTCTATTCATTTGTTTATTTGTGACGTGGAAATCCCTGAGACGAGACAGCTGGAGAAGAATATCTCAAATTCTGTGTAAAAACTAATCTAAGTTCCAAGGTTCACCCCTAAACTATGCATGTGCAGAACATGCCCAAAGATGCATAGCAAAGGCTCTGAGAATGAAACTAAAATGTAAATATAAATCAACATCCAAGTCCCAGACCAACCCCTGAGTGGTACATGAAGGAACAGACCCAAACAGCAGAGCAAAGTCTTCCAAAACTGAACTGACTCATGTGGGAATCCATAGAAGATGAGACAGAACTTGTGGTCTGAATCTCGCTGGGTGGGTGGCCTGTTAAAACAAAGAAACAAACGAAAATCAACATTAACCAGCTCATCACTGTGGCTCACGCCTGTAATCCCAACATTTTGGGACACCGAGGTGGGTGGATGGCTTAGGCCCAGGAGTTAGAGACCAGCTTGGGCAACAAAGTGAGACCTCCATCTCTACCAAAACATAAAAAATAAAAAAAATTAGCCAGGCATGGTGGCTTGCACATGTGGTCCCAGCTACTCAGGAGGCTGAGGAGGGAGAACTTTTGTAGTCAAGGAGGCAGAGGTTGCAGTGAGCCAAGATCTTGCCACTGCTCTCTAGCTCTGACAACAGAGCTAGACCCTGTGTAAGAAAAAAAAAAACAGAAAACAAAAAAAAAAAAGAAAGAAAAAGAAAAGAAAAAAAGAAAATCAACAATATCCAGAAGATATAACAGAACTCAGAGCCTCAGAACAAAATATTCAGAATATAAAGAACCAGGAAAATCTGATAAGTTCTATCAGTTCTCAAGGGGAAAGACAATCAACAGATGCCAGCCCCAGTGTTGGGATTACCAAAGACTTTAAAGCTGTTATTATAATCATTCTTCAAGGAGAAAAGGTGAACATTCTTGAGAGAAAGGTAGACATTTAAAAGATGATTAGGTCATGATGGTCTGCCCTCATGAATAGATTAATGTCACTATCATGGGAGTGGGTTCATTATCTCAAGAGTGGATTTGTTATAAAAGTGAGTTCAGGGCTGGGTGTGGTGGCTCATGCCTGTAATCCCAGCACTTTGGGACGCCGAGGTCATGGAGGATCACCTGAGATCAGGAGTTTGAGACCAGCCTGGCCAACATGGAAAAACCTCGTCTCTACTAAAAGTACAAAATTAGCCAGGTATGATGGTGCACGCCTGTAATCCCAGCTACTCAGGAGGCTGAGGCACAAGAATTGCTTGAGCCTGGGAGGCAGAGGTTGCAGTGAGCCGATATCGCACCACAGCATTCCAGCCTGGGTGACAGGGTGAGACTCTGTCTCAAAAAAAAAAAAAAAAAAAAAATGAGATCAACGAGTTCAGCCCTCTCTTGGCTCCTCCTCTCCCTCCCCAACCACACACAAACATGCAACCACAGACTCTCCTGCCCTTCTGCCTTCCACCATAGGAATGACAAGGCCAAAAAAAGAGAAGGCCTTCACCAGAGGTGGCCCCTCAATCTTGGACTTCCCAGCCTCCAGAACCACAAGCCAAATAAATTTCTTCTTTTGATAAATCACGCAGTCACGGGTATTCTGTTATAGTAATACAAAACAGACTAAGACAGCCCATATGCTTTCATTTTCCAAAATTGTGTTGACATATTTTGACTTCTGTCATATTTTTCCCTTCTCTTTAACCCTGTGAGTTTATGGTCCTTTTATTTCTTTACTGTTATTACAGTGGGGATTTGGGAGGGAACAGATAAATGCATATTCAGTCTTTTGTGTTTACTTACACAAGCTCTTCTTTAATCAAGTCTACAACATAAATATAGTTTAGCAAACGAATACTACTTTCTCATGAATGCATATAAGTTTATCTCTGGGGCCAGGTTCTCTGACAGAAAATATAGGTGTTTACCAGTCACGTTCCCAATAATTGTCTCCATGAAAGCCATTGGATTTTTCTGTTCCAAGGGAGACACACTTAAAAGGATTGCCACATGGTTTCCAGTCCAGCTGCCAGAATTGCCAGTGCTACTTGGGCTGTGATGAAACAGAGTTCACACAGTCTGACAGACAAGTGGTTTTACACGGGGGCTGTGAGAGCTGGGGCAGCCCACTGACAGTGGTAAGCTAGCAACCTGGCAAAAGAGTTGTGGGTTTCTGTATGTCTATGAGTAGCATCCCAGTATTCACACATATAATCAGCACCCAAAAATGCCTTTTCATTACCTATATCGTAATCACCCCCTTATGGAAACTCATAAAAATAGTGTTGAAATAGCATTGACTCCCATAGGAAACATTCTCTTTCCCCCTGATCATTTCTACAGCACCTTGATCTTCAATCCTAAGGGGTCTTTGAAAAGGCAGTCATACTCAATTAAGTGTCTTCCAAACAGAGATAACTCCAGGGTCTCAGGAAGCAGCTGGCCTGTGTTTCATTCTCCTTTGAGTGCTGCAGCCAAGCTAAAGAACATTATTAGGTGGTGGTTTTTAAAATTTTGGATGGCACAAATGTAAACTGGTAACATGCCCTACACACATCTTAGTTTTAAAAACGTTGTCCCTGTTCATCTTAGCCAGCTGACTCTGAGAATTTTTATTTTATTCTGTAATATTGTAAAACTATGATCTTGGATCTCCCCCCACTGCCTCCCTCCCAACCCCACCCCCAACCACTGCCTCCGAAACACACACACACACACACACGACACTAGCCACCCTTAGGCTCATGTGAAAATGCTGGGCTGTGTAAACTGGAACTGCCTTGAAAAGATGGAGGTGCATCCCCCAATAGGGTTGGCCAGATTTAGCAATAAAAATACAGGATGCCCAATTAAAACTGAATTTCAGATAAACAATGAATAGGCAACCCCAGGCACTGAGGATGAGCTTCGATTAAGCCAAGTGGTAATCCTCTCCTCCTTGCTAGTGATTAGTTTGGGAGTGGGCTTATAACACAGTTCTGACCAATTGGAGCAGAGGAGAAATCTTCCAGGGGCTTCTGGGAAAGATTTTCTTCCCTGATTAAAAACAGAGAGAGTGTGTGGAAAGTTCCTTATGCTTCCTGCCTTCAATGATCATCATGTGAAGATATGGTGCTGGGAACAGCAGAGATCATCTTATCACCGGGAAGGGAAAGTCACGAGAAAGTCAGAGAGACTGAGCCAGAACTCTGACATTGTGGAACTTCTGAATTAGGCAGCTCTGGAATTCTCTTTTCCAGGACTTTTATGGGAAATAATGAATGTCCTCACTGTTTGAGTCACTTTTACTTGGGTGTTCTGTTTGTGCTGCTGAAAGCACCCTCAATGATTTAGCTGAAAGTTTTTGAAGCTCACTCAACAAGTATTAAATTGCTGTGGTTAGTAGATCCAGAACTCGGCTAAAGAAACTTATCTCACTCAAATAAACAAAATTATTTTATTATGAGATCCACTGGCCCAAAAGTGTTGCACGAGTCTTTCTCAACTTCTCACGGTTTAGGAATCACAGAAACCCTCCCACAGACTTTGAGAAGTGGGCAGGAGACAGGATGGATTGGCTGTTCTTGTTAACAGTTCTCAGTGTCCTTGCTGTCATTGACAGCTTCAGAGATCTGAACTGGCTTCATGAGGAAGTGCTAGCCAGGCAGGCCGATTCTGTGGGACAGATGGCTGCTGTTTCACAATTGTAGACATGAGAAGGGCAACCTTTAGCCCAGAAGCTGGGGTTGGTGATCCTGAGATATCATTAGCATCTATGGCATCTGTGCTGTCACTTTTGATCACAGTGTGGATAGTACTCACTGTTCATTTGTTTTATTTCTAAACATTCTAAAATGAATGCGATTTATCAAATGTTTAACAGCACAATTCTGACATATGGCAAACTTTTTTTTTTTTTTTTTTTGAGAAGGAGTTTTTGCTTTGTTGCTCAGGCTGAAGTGGAATGGTGCCATCTTGGCTCCCTGCAATCTCTGCCTACTGGGTTCAAGCGATTCTCCTGCCTCAGCCTCCCAAGTAGCTGGGATTACAGGCGCCCATCACCATGCCCAGCTAATTTTTGTATTTTTAGTAGAGATGAGGTTTCACCATATTGGACAGGCTGGTCTCCAACTCTTGACCTCAGGTGATCCACCCACCTTGGCCTCCCAAACTGCTAGGATTACAGGTGTGAGCCACCACCAAGCCTGGCCACAAACATTTTATTTTAAAAAATTTTGCATAGATTATATATATACACAGCATATATAGAATTCACACCAGTAAGTCTCCCTTCCCTTCTAGGCTCCCTTTTCTCTTCTCTAGAAACAACCATTATTATCAGATTCTTGCATATCCTTCTAGGGTTTTGTATATGTGGACAACCATATAAATATGTATAGCTCCCTTTTTAATACCAATGGTAGAACATAATACACATTGGCCAAATCTTGGAGATTCTCACACATCATCACTGTTAAAACTATCTCATTCTGTTCAAGGGCTGCCTGGGGTTCTGATGCATGGATGTGCCACAAGGTATTAGCCAATATCCTATTGATAGACAGTGTGATGGACATGCGTCATGTTTCTTGCCTCACCAGCTCCTTTGGAATGCTTCTAATGTTTTTAGAAAAAGTCACTCTCCAGTCTCCTTTGAAGCTCCCCGGATCTGTCCAGTTGCACCTTTGCCAGTCTCCAAATCAGAAGTGGTCCCTAGGAGGAAATGGGCCGTGGGCAGGGCATCCATTTTGCTGGCAAGGGTGCACCACAAGCTATAGCTTTGAGAGCAGTAGGGGCTACAAAGCAAGTTCCTGCTGCAGAAGGGACATTGGTGGCACCAGCATGAGTTACAGTTGTGGCTACAGTCAAGTTCTTGACAGCAGTCCAAATTGCCGCTTAGAGTTCTTGGTGGCAGCTCAACATTCCGGGTGTTTTCTTCATCTGGCTATTTCTATATGTGGTTCGTGGCTTTATTTCTTGAGGTTTAGCATCAAGTCTATGCTCCATCCCTCTCAACACCTGTCTCTATAGTAAGTCACTTTCAGCTCACCAACCAGAGTCACATCTGCCACTTGCAACCAAGAATACAGTCTGAGACAGACATGTCATTTTACTTCTAATTTGTTATTATTTTTTTAGGACAAAAAGAACCTTGTAATAATTACCCTTCCATATACACCTTTGTGCCTGTGTGTGGGCAAATCTGTGGCATAAAAATGCTAAAAACAGAATTGCTGCATCTGAAGTACTGGGATATTGGGCCAGGTGTGGTGGCTCATGCCTGTAATCCCAGCACTCTGGGAGGCCAAGGCGGGCGGATCACCTGAGGTCAGGAGTTCAAGACCACCCTGGCCAACATGGTGAAACCCTGTCTCTACTAAAAATAGAAAAATTCGCTGGGCATGGTGGTGCCCACCTATAATCCCAGCTACTTGGGAGGCTGCAGCAGAAGAATTGCTTGAACTTGGGAGGCCGAAGTTGCAGTGATTTGAGATTGCGCCACTGCATTCCAGCCTGGGTGACAGAGTGAGACTCTGTCTCAAAAAAAATAAAAGAAAATAAAATACTGGGATGTTGATGGCTACTGCCAAAATGACCTCAATGCAATTTTACCAATTTGCACTGCTGCCAAAAATGCATTGCCACACCCTGGTCCGCGGTGTATTATCAAAATTTTTTTAACTTTGCCATTCTGAGAGGTGAAAGGAATATCTCACAGTAGTATGCTTTTCACTTGTCTTATTAGAGGATGAAGTTTTTATATACTAAAAGACATTTGTATTTTCTTTTCTGTGAACTGTCTACATTTTTGCCTATTATTTTATTGACTATAGGCCTTTTACTTGCTGATTTGTTCGAATTCTTTATCTACTAAAAGAATTAGTCTGATGTTTAATTTTTATATAGTGAAATTTAGAAATCACTTATTTTATGACTTCTGAGCTTTAAGCTGAGAAAGGACTTCCTGGCTGGGTGTAGTAGCTCACACCTATAATCCCAGCACTTTGGGAGGCTGAGGCCACGGGATGGCTTGAGCCCAGGAGTTTGAGCCCAGAAGTTTGAGGCAGAGGTTGCAGTGAGCAGAGATCGCGTCATTGCACACCAGCCCGGGCAACAGTGTGAGACTCTGTCTCAAAAAAAAAAAAAAAAAAAAGACACAAGATTTAAATTTAAGGACAAAATGGAATAAAACAGGGCCGGGGGTGGTGGCTCATGCCTGTAATCCTAGCATTTTGGGAGGCCGAGGTGGGCAGATCACAAGGTCAAGAGTTTGAGACCAGCCAGACCAACATGGAGAAACCCCGTCTCTACTAAAAGTACAAAACTAGCCGGGCATGGTGGCGCATGCCTGTAATCCCAGTTACTCGGGAGGCTGAGGCAGGAGAGTCTCTTGAACCTGGGAGGTGGAGGTTGCAGTGAGCCGAGATCGTGCCATTGCACTCCAGCCTGAGCAACAAGAGAGAAAATTCCGTCTCAAAAAAAAAAGAAGTTAGAAAAACATACCAAGTAAACAACTAACCAAAGAGAAACATATTATGTTGATATTCAAAAATAAATCTTATCATCCCCTTTTCCTTTCTACCATAGAATAGAATTGAAAGTTCAGAAAGCAGCCTTTTTGTGTGTGGTCTACTGATTTTCAGTGAGGGTGCCAAGACAATTGAATGGGGAAAAATGGTCCCTTCAACAAATTGTTTTGGGACTACTGGATACATGCTTGCCAAAAAATGAAGTTAGGTGACTACCTCACACCATATACCAAAATTAATTCAAAACAGACTACAGGCGAGGGGATCGCTTGAATCCAGAAGTTTGAGACCAGCCTAGGCAACATGGTGAACTCCTATCTCCACAAAAAATTTAAAAATTAGCCAGGCATGGTGGCTTGCATCTGTGGTCCCCACTACTCAGGAAGCTGAGGTGGGAAGATCACCTGAGCCCAGGAGGTTGAGGCTGCAGTGAGCCATGATCACATCACTGTACCCCAGCCTGAGCAACAGAGTGAAACCCTGTCAAAAAAAAAAAAAAAGGGCCAGGCCTGGTGGCTCATGCCTGTAATCCTAGCACTTTGGGAGGCTGAGGTGGGAGGATCACGAGTTCAGGAGATTGAGACCAGCCTGACCAACATGGTGAAACCCCGTCTCTACTAAAAATACAAAAATTAGCCAGGCATGGTGGCACACGCCTGTAATCCCAGCTACTTGGGAGGCTGAGGCAGGAGAATCGCTTGAATCCGTGAGGTGGAGGTTGCAGTGAGCTGAGATCACGCCACTGCACTCCAGCCTGGGCGACAGAGTGAGACTCCATCTCGAAAAAAAAAAGAAAAAAAAACAGTAAGGGAAATTGTGTGCCCAGGGAGAGAAGGTATATGCGAACTCCCTGTACTCTCCTATCAATTAAAAAAACAAAAACAAAAACAAAAAAAAACTAAAACTGCTCTAAAAATAAGAATAAAATACAAGAAAGAAAACCCCTACAATGAGAACCACTTCATACCTACTAAGATAAAAAAAAAAGATGGACACTAACAAGAGTTGACAAGAATTTGGAGAAATAGAAACTTTGTTTGTTTGTTTGTTTGTTTGTTTTTTGAGACAGTCTCGCTTTGTCGCCCAGGCTGGAGCGAGTGGCGCGATCTCCGCTCACTGCAAGCTCCGCCTCCCAGGTTCAGGCCATTCTCCTGCCTCAGCCTCCCGAGTAGCTGGGACTACAAGCGCCCACCACAACGCCCGGCTAATTGTTTGTATTTTTAGTAGAGGCAGGGTTTCACTGTGTTAGCAAGGATGGTCTCATCTCCCGACCTCGTGATCCGCCCACCTTGGCCTCCCAAAGGAAATAGGAACTCTTATAAGTTTGCTGCTGGGAATGTAAAGTTTGCAGTCACTCTGGAAAACAGTCTGCTAATTCCTCAAAAGGCTAAACGTAATTACCACATGACCCAGCAATTCCGCTCCTAGGTATATAACTAAGAGAAATGAAAACGTATCCACACAAAAACCTGTACATGAATGTTCATTGCAGCATTATTCATAATAGCCAAAAATGGAAACAACCCAAATGTCCATGAACTGATGAATGGATAAACAAAATGTAGTACACATCCATGCAATGGAAAATTATCAGCCGGGTGCAGTGGCTCACGCCTGTAATCCCAACACTTTGGGAGGCCAAGGTGGGTGGATCATGAGGTCAAGAGATTGAGACCATCCTGGCCAACATGGTGAAACCCTGTCCCTACTAAAAATACAAAAATTAGCCAGGCGTGGTGGCGCACGCCTGTAGTCCCAGCTACTCGGGAGGCTGAGGCAGGAGAATCACTTGAACTCAGGAAGCAGAGGTTGCAGTGAGCTGAGATTACGCCACTGCACTCCAGCCTGGGTGACAGTGAGACTCCATCTCAAAAAAAAAAAAACACAAAACAAAGAAAATTATCAAAATATAGTACACCTTTTTTTTTTTTTGAGACGGAGTCTCACTCTTGTCGCCCAGGATGGAGTGCAGTGGCGCACTCTCGGCTCACTGCAACCTCTGCCTCCCAGGTTCAAGTGATTCTCCTGCCCCAGCTTCCCGAGTAGCTGGGATTACAGGTGCCCACCACCACCCCTGGCTAATTTTTTGTATTTTTAGTAGAGACAGGGTTTCACCATGTTGGTCAGGCTGGTCTTGAACTCCTGACCTCAGGTGATCCACCCGCCTCGGCCTCCCAAAGTGCTGGGATTACAGGCGTGAGCCACCACACCTGGCCCAAAATGTAGTACATCTACAATGTAAAGGAATGAAGTCCTGATGTATGCTACAACATGGATAAACCTTGAAAACATTACGGTAAGTGAAGAAGTCAGGCACAAAAGGCCACATATGTTATGATTCCATTTACATAAAGTGTTCAGAATAGAAATCCCTAGCATCAGAAAGTCCCACACCCGCAGTGTCACTGGAGACCACGTAGGAAGCACTCCTCCCCAGCCACGGTGTGTCAGCAGAGGCTAGTGGGGAGCCTGAACTTAACACCCCTGCCCAAATGTAATGAGGTGCTCCTCCCAGGGTGTTAATGGGGGCTCTGTGGGGAACCTGGCCTTCTGCTCCCACCTGATAACAACAAGGTGATTAGAATACCTGTACAATCAGCAAACACAGATTTGAGAAAAAAACACAACTGATTCTTGGCAACCCAGTGGGAGAGTCACGTGTGTGCGATTGCTTCAGAGTAGCCACTAGCTGTGGGATTTCAGTGGGCTTTGCCCACTGGTCAGTATGTTTTGCAGAGTAAATGGAAAGCTTCTTTCAATCTGTCGAGGTGATTAAACCAGGTTGGTTAGGATCACTACTGCATTTCTACATGCAAATAATGCAAGTTAATTGAACCTTAATAATCTGAGCCTGCTTGCCATTTTGAAATAACAGTGCCTATGCAAAGACTGAGAGGGGAGCTCACTATAAGCACCATCCATACTTTGGATATTGGGGACCCCTTGTGGACAATTCAGACAGAGCGAGGGCTCTCTGAGATTGCCTGTCAAAAGCAAGTAACCAAAATTCACACATGAAAAACTGAATGGAAAGCCACACAGATGTGGCACTCACGTCGTTCAGGAAAAGCAGTTTCTCTGCTGTTGTCATGTGAGACAATCAAATTAGTCTATAAGTTTAATACAATCCTAATAAAATCTTAATAGGGTTTTAAAATTGGAATTGGAGAATTCTGATTCTCTTTTGGAAGAGAAATGTTCAATAACAGCCAAAAAAAAAAAATCTTTAAAAAGATTATGAGTAGGAATTTTCCCTGCCATATATGAAAATGTAGATCTAAATATACAGAAAGTTTATAAATATAAATCGATTTTGCAATATAAATGTAGCTTATGATAGTGGTGGCATTTAAGGTCTCGAAGGAAGAGTGGTTTTTTCAATAAATTGTATGAAATAATTGGCTATCCACTGAAGGAAAAAATAACATTAGATTGAATCTTCTACCCCATCACATCAAACACAGGTGGTAAAACGATTAAACATTTAGAGAAAAAAGTTGAAATATTAAATATTTAAACTATATTTTATTAATATTGGGGTAGTAAATGCCTTCCTCAACAAAATACAAAACCCAGGAGCTGGGTCGGGAGCGGTGGCTGGGCCAGGGACGGTGGCTTATGCCTGTAATCCCAGCACTTTGGGAGGCCGAGGTGGGTGGATCACGAGGTCAGGAGATGGAGACCTCCTGACCAACATGGTGAAACCCCGTCTCTACTAAAAATACAAAAAAAATTAGCCGAGCATGGTGGCGGGCGCCTGCAGTCTCAGCTACTCGGGAGGCTGAGGCAGGAGAATGGCGTGAACTCGGGAGGCGGAGCTTGCAGTGAGCCAAGATCGCGCCACTGCACTCCAGCCTGGGCGACAGAGTGAGACTCCGTCTCAAAAAAAAAAAAAAAAAAAAAAAAAAATTAGCCAGGCATGGTGGTGTGCGCCTGTAATCCCAGCTACTCCAGAGGTTGAGGCAGGAGAATCACTTGATCCCGGGAGGCAGAGGTTGCAGTGAGCCGAGATCGCTCCACTGCACTCCAGCCTGGGCAATAGAGCAAGACTCCATCTCAAAAACAAACAAACAATGGGAGCTATAAAAGACTGAGAGATTTGCGTTCATAAAATTTAAAACTTGAGTTAAAAGAAATACTAAAATAATCAAATTTAAAGGAAAAGGGAGTGAGGGGAAAAAACTGTTGACGAAATTACTATTCAGAACATATACAGAGTTCTGACAATGTTTTAAATTGACAAAGGATGTGACCAGGAAGTTGACAGAAAAATCTAAATCAAAAAAGAAGAAAAAGGAGGAGGAGAAAAGAAAGAGAAAAAAAGAGAAAGGTGCTCAAACTCAATACTAATCAAACAAAGCAAATTAAATGAGATTTTCTTTTTTGCCCATCAGATTATTGAACATTTAAGATAGCCCATCTAAAGCCACAGTTTTTGCTATGTGATGCTCTAGCTGCAGTACATTTTTAAAGGATTTATAATTTCCAGTGTGATTTTCTCTTTAATGCAGATGTTATTTAGGAGTATTTTTAAATTTCCTGATGTATAGGGCTTTAAGAAATACTTTGGCCGGGTGCAATGACTCACACCTGTAATCCTAGCACTTTGGGAGGCCAAGGTGGGCAGATTGTTTGAGCCTAGGAGTCTGAGACCAGCCCGGGCAATATGGTAAGATAAGACCTGCATCTCTGCAAAGAAAATTCAAAAGTATTAGCCAAGAGTGGTGGTGTGCACCTGTAGTCCCAGGTACTCAGGAGGCTGAGGTAGGAGGACCACTGGAGCCCAGGAGGTTAAGGCTGCAGTGAGCCATGATTGCACCATTGCACTCCAGTCTGGGTGACACAATGAGACCCTGTCTCAAGAAAAAGGAAGGAAAGAAGGAAGGAAGGAAGGAAGGAAGGAAGGAAGGAAGGAAGGAAGGAAGGGAGGGAGGGATTGATTTTAGTATTAGTAATACTGGAATTGTTCTTGTATTACTAATACTAAAATATTATCCTTTATAAATTGTATAAAAAGGCATAGAAATTCTGTGATAGCCATGTCTAAATCAAAAAGAATTTAAAAAAAAAAAGCATACAGAGATAAGAGATCAGGCCCCTCTTACCCCTGTCTCCCTTCCTGCTGGCCCCTCTCTCAGCCAGTGATCATTGTTAGTTTCTTCTATAGTACTCTAGAGATAGTTTATGCATATGCAAACAAGTGCTGACATATTTTATTTTATTTTTTGAGATGGAGTCACGCTCTGTTGCCCAGGCTGGAGTGCAGTGGTGCAATCTTGGCTCACTGCAAGCTCCGCCTCGCAGGTTCACGCCATTCTCCTGCCTCAGTCCCCCAAGTAGCTGGGACTACAGCCACCTGCAACCACGCCTGGCTAATTTTTTGTATTTTTAGTAAAGACAGGGTTTCACCGTGTTAGCCAGGACGGTCTCGATCTCCTGACCTTGTGATCTGCCTGCCTCGGCCTCCCAAAGTGCTGGGATTACAGGCATGAGCCACTGCGGCCAGCCAAGTACTGACATATTCTTTTGCTCATCATTTTTACTAGAAATGGTAGCATATTATATGTTATTCTGCATCTTGCTTTTTCTCCTTAATAATATATTGAAAATAGACAGCAATGCCAGTGATCATCATGTGATATCAATTGATTTAAAATATTTACCGTGAGATACACACATTTAATACATACATATTTGTAATGTTTAAAGTGAACATCTAGGCTGGGCTCAGTGGCTCACACCTGTAATCCCAGCACTTTGGGAGGCCGAGGCGGATGGATCACCTGAGGTCAGGAGTTCGAGACCAGCCTGGACAATGTGGTGAAACCCTGACTCTACCAAAAATACAAAAATTAGCCTGGCATGGTGGCAGGCACCTGTAATCCCAGCTACTCGGGAGGCTGAGGCAGAAGAATTGCTTGAACCTGGGAGGCTGAGGCAGAAGAATTGCTTGAACCCGTGCTGGCTAGTTTGTTAAAGTGAGCTGAGGTTGCATCATTGCACTCCAGCCTGGGTGACAAGAGCGAAACTCCGTCTCAAAGAGAAAATAAATAAATAAATGAAGTGAACCTCTATGATGTCCGCTACAACAGTGCTGGTACTTTTAAAGCTCATCCCTGACCACATCATCCACCCTCTTCCCTCAAGGAGCCACTATCCTGACCCTGGGGTTAATCATTGCCTTGCCTTTTTTTCATGGTTTTACCACCTTCTTATGGGGCCAAGAACAATAGAGCTTAATTTTTTCCATGTTGAACTTTAACAAAGAGAATCATAGTGTTTCCTTCTGTGACTGCTCTCTTTTGATCAACATTGTTCTGTCAATGTGTGTGATTGTGGTTAATTTGTTTGCCATTGCTACATAGCACCCCTGTAAGCACGTAACACTAGATCGTATGGACTTTTGGGTTGTCTCCAGATTGGGGTTATGTTTTTGTTTGTTTTGTTTTGTTTTGTTTGGCAGAGTCTTGCTCTGTTGCTCAGGCTAGAGTGCAGTGGCGCGATCTCAGCTCACGCTGGGCTCACAGACGTGCACGACCACGTATGGCTAATTTTTTCGTTTATTTTTTTTTTTTATTTTTAGTAGAAATGGGGTTTCTCCATGTTGGCCAGGCTAGTCTTGAACTCTTGAGCTCAAGTGATCTGCCCGCCTTGGCCTCTCGAAGTGCTAGGATTATAGACGTGAGCCATGGCGCCTGGCCTGAGGTTAGTGTGTTATTATGATAGTTCTTGTATGTCTCCTGGTTTAGGGCAACAGTTCCCAAAGTGTGGTCCACGAAACCCTAGGGGTCCCTGAGATGACATCAAGGGGTCGCTAAAGTTAAAACTGTTTTCTTTTTTTTTTTATTTTATTATTATACTTTAAGTTTTAGGGTACATGTGCACAATGTGCCAGTTAGTTACATATGTATACATGTGCCATGCTGGTGTGCTGCACCCATTAACTCATCATTTAGCATTAGGTATATCTCCTAATGCTATCCCTCCCCCCTCCCCCCACCCCACAACAGTCCCCAAAGGACTATAAATCATGCTGCTATAAAGACACATGCACACGTATGTTTATTGCGGCACTATTCACAATAGCAAAGACTTGGAACCAACCCAAATGTCCAACAATGATAGACTGGATTAAGAAAATGTGGCATATATACACCATGGAATACTATGCAGCCATAAAAAATGATGAGTTCATGTCCTTTGTAGGGACATGGATGAAATTGGAAAACTGTTTTCTTATACGGTAATACTAAAATGTAATTTGCCATTTTCACTCTATGGATATTTGCACTGATATTGTAAAAGCAATCTGGGTAAAACTGCAGCCATCTTAGCATGAATCAAGTCAATGGCTCCAAACTACCTTGTTTGTAATTGATGTGAGTTCTTCACATCATGTTATGGGTTGTTCCCTGGCTAACTACTTCCCCATGTAGCCCTGGCTGAGGTGAGAGGATTGCTCAAGTTGAGCCTGGGAGACAGAGGTTATGGTGAGCCAAGATGGTGACACTGCACTCCAGCCTAGGCGACAGAGCAAGGCCCTGTCTCAAAAAAAAAGAAACAAACATATATGTAATTTATGTGTGTGTTGGATCATGATGTAAAATATATTTCTTACTGTGGGTCTCAGTCAAAAAAGTTTTCAAGCCACTGCTCCAGGAAGATTCTAGAATGATATAGCACCATCGCCGCCAACTTAGCACCTCACTGTACTAGGGACTGATGTCCCAGAAAACACTCTGTGAACACAGGTAACAATATCCTATCCAAAAGGACATTGTTTTCATGACAACACAAATACAACTTGGTGGGCTACTGGGAGTCACAGACCCTCATTTTAGCTCTGCCTCAAGCACTTACCAGCCAAGCAATCCAGTTACTTTATATATTAAAAACGCAGGCGATATAGGAAGTATTTCTTTCCCAAGGAATAATATCAGGTAGTATATGAAAAGTGCTTTGAAAACTACAATGAATAATTATTACAATAACTGATATTTAAGGAATGCATATATACATATATGTACATATATGCACGCAACATAGTTTTGAGTCCTTAACCCTGTGAATTTCACATTTAACAGATGAAGAAACTGAAGCTTAAGGTTAAATGCATGCACCAGTATTTGAACCCAAGCCTTAGACTACACCCTCATAACCATCAAACAGTACTTTTTAAATGCTGCATGAAGAAAAAGGTTTACTATGTTAGAAATGAAAGAGCATCTTTGCCCTCTGTTATAAGGTTTGAAAGTTGTACGAATTGGATCTTTTTGCCACTTGCCCTTAAATATCATAACTCTTGAAAGTTTTTAATCCTGTGGCATTCTTATTTCCTCTTCTATGCAAATATAGTTAAAATGCAAGAATTTCAGATTGACACCTGGTAGAGTCCTGGGGTGGCATAGCAGTTTCTTTAGCTGTATAAAAGGTGAGGCCTGGCCAGGTGCAGTGGCTCACACCTGTAATCCCAGCACTTTGGGAGGCCAAGGCAGGTGGACCACGAGGTCAGGAGTTCAAGACCAGCCTGGCCAAGATGGTGAAACCCCGTCTCTACTAAAAATACAAAAAATTAGCTGGGCATGGTGGCGGGTGCCTGTAATCCCAGCTACTCAGGAGGCTGAGGCAGAGAATTGCTTGAACTCAGGAGGCGGAGGTTACAGTGAGCTGAGATTGCGCCACTGCACTCCAGCAAGACTCTGTCTCAAAAAAAAAAAAAAAAAAAAAAAAAAAGTGAGGCCCTTGAATGTAGTAGGTGATTGATAAATATACCGAACAAATGAGGTCCCACTTAGGTCTACAATTTTGTCAGATTGGTAGGGTAAGGTAGTTAACCAAGGAACAGTGCCCTTGGGTCCCAGGAGGAGGGACTAAGGAGAAGAGGGCAGACCTCGGGGCAGAGTCAACCTGGCATGTTCGGGGACTGTCCTCACTTCTAATGGAAGGATGCACAGTTCTTGGAGGACTTACAGAGTGCAGTTCTGGGCATTACTTACTTTACAATCCCAATGTTTGCAGATATGACCAATGTGGTATTTTTTATGTAAAGCCCTGGACCAAGGGCAGCAGTGAGGGGCATCCTGCTCTCAACTCTCCTACAGACACTGGCTTGGCCAGAAAATGGGTTCAGAGATCAGGCCCTAAGAATCCAGAGATGATCCCATTCCCTCAACAGTTCTTGGTGACAATCACCAGTCTCTCCTTCTTGTAGGGCTTGAGATATAAATCGTCCACTTCTAGTTTTTACAGACATTCTCAGTTTCTATTGCCTCCATTGGTAAGACCTTGTCCTAGAAGCAGCTCTACCAGGACACCTGAACCAGGAAACAAATAAGGCTTGAATTTGGGAGTCTGGCATGATAGATTCGATTACATTCCCCAAAAACAATCTATGAAGGAAAAGGGATTTTGTTGTGTTCTGTTTTCTTTTAGAGACAAGGTCTTGCTCTGTTGCCCAGGCTGGAGTGCAGTGGTACAATCTTGGCTCACTGCAACCTCAGCCTCCTGGGCTCAAGCAATCCTCCCACCTCAGCCTCCCAAGTGGCTGGAACTACAGGCTCATGCCACCATGCTGGCTAGTTTGTGTTTGTAGAGACAGGATCTGGTTATGTTGCCCAGTCTGGTCTGGAACTCCTGGCCTCAAGCAACCGTCTTGCCTCGGTCTCCCAAAGGAATCTTTTCTAAATAATAATTATAGGCTTCTTATCTTCCCATCATTGAAGTTTTAATTCACAGGACAAAACAAAATAGGCCTGAGTCCAAGGGCCCCTCGTAAAATGTTTCCATGTCCTCTTACATAGACTCACTTCCACCCTACCTAATTCAGCAAATTAAACCCTGGGGATCATTCTCCCCAGTTCTCCCTGGAGTACCACTCAGGCATGTCTGAAATATGGTAGATTCAGTGGACACACCTTTGGCCTGTCAAAGTACCTTCCCAGACTGAGAATAGATCATGACCAGACACCTGAAGTCCATACTGGAAGGAATGTTTATGTTCAAGACCAGAGCCTTGTGGAATGGAAAAAAAAATCCAGGGCAACAGGTTTAAGACCCATTAGGAGACAATATTGTCGTCATGAATATAAATGAGGCCTAGGCAGGTTGGGAGTAGCTAGTGTCTTGGCTCTGGCACAACCAGGCCCTGTTCCTCCACAGGGCTGGCCAGGGCAGAGGTGAAAGGGGCTGGGGTGTGACCGAGTGAGCTGGGGTAGAGGTAGAAAAAGGGACACAGAACATCCCAGGCCTAAGCTACATGGAGTATGAGAGAACAGCTGGAATGTGCTCTAGAAGCCCTGGGAGAAGGCCTCAGTTGAGGCTGAATTCAGATATGCCTGGGACCCGGTCTCTGTTAAGAGACCCCGGAGAGCTGGTGCAGAGCTGATGTGGGCAGCTGAACAGGGCCAGGCAGGGGCAGAGGCCAGGTGTGGGAGGGTGTGAGCACAGTGTTCTTCACAAGACCATAAAAGTCCAGCTAGAATGTTCCGTTTCTAAAATCAGATGGGAACATTCTTCCTCCAGTTCCAAAAGTAAAAATCTGAGAGCAAAAGGTTCTGGCAAAGGGAAAGTGGGGCCGGAGAAGGGACAGACTAAGTAAGCCCCAGGGGATGAGAAGCCCTAGGAGAGGGTGTGCATCTTCTACCATGGTGAGCACAACACTGTCCCCTGCAGACACAGGGACAGCAGGGACTTGAAGCCACAGCCCCCCTCCTCAGCACAGGAAGGTGACCTGTACATAGGATAGGACTCCTTATCCTCACCAGAGGATGCAGTAGGGTGGACAAGAGCAGGTGAAGACAGTACAGGAGCCCAAATTCTAGGTCCAATGGTAGTTTTTATTCCCCAGGAACAAAGATAATGTGGAGAAGAAACTCCAAAAGGAAACAGAGCACGGATGACAGAAATGACACCACGGCAGCCTGGCTCAGGAGTCAGGTAGATAGATGGCTGCTCCACAGTGGACCCGGTCATGGCCCTGGTTTCTTGGATCCACATTTGCCCCGTCTCTTAAGTGTCCATCTCAGAGGTGGAGGATGGAGACAGTGAGGTGGAAAACGTGCTTGCTCTACACAAAGACAAATGGATCTTCTATTCCCAGAGGACCAGGGACACCAAAACCTCCCTCTTCAGAATGGAGGTAGACAGATAAAAATGAGAGGGGCTTGAGTGTCACAGACAATCTGAAAGTAATAATAGGGGCTCACTGTGGCTGGCAGAACTGGTACTGAAATGGGGACTACAGGGGAAGCAGCTTCCAGTTTTATGGTGGAGAGTCAGTCCTGAATCAGGCCCTGGGGCAATTATAACCAGAGTGCTGTTTCTAGCCACTTACTTCAAAGGACTATGGCTATGTTGAATCAGAAGCCATTATCTTTTTCCCAGAGGATGCACTTCCATCCCTATTTCTGGCATGATCCTGCTCCCTACGAGCCTGATCCTTTAAAAAACAGATTGGCAAGCGACGAGAAAAACGGTGCCTCACATGCTTGAGATGTGACAGCTTCTCCTGCAGGCAAGAACCTCTCAGAACAAGGTCCTTTGGTATGAGCTAGATCATCCAGGCCTGTCCCTGCAGAACACACCAAGACTCATCCCTGTACTACAGGGTGGCCTCTGGCTATGGCCTGGCACAGTGAGGACAGAGGCGGGGTCCTGAGTCAACATCACAGGGAGGTCTCCTGGAGGATGCAGGTGGAGCTGCTCCCCTGATAGGCTGTGCCATCCAGGGCCATGGCCTCCTTGTCTCTGCTGTCCCCCAGCACACCATTCCTCGGCTTCTCAGGAAACAGGCCAGTGTCGAGGTGGTCCTGCAAACACAGAGCCAAAGGGGTGGAACTGGTGAAGACGGATGACGGGTGCTTGACAGGATTCACACAAAAAAGGTCCCCGCCAGAAGGGAGCCCAGCAAGGCTGGGTTCGGGAGGGAGAGCAGGGGGAAAAGAGGGAGGGCATAGCACAGCAGGGAGCACAGGGTGGGCTGGGGAGGGGAGCTGACTGGCCCAGGCTGGGGCTGAGCTCCTCTGAGCCCTGAGATCCTTCTGCCCACCAAGCCAGTGCAGTCCTGTGGGTAGAACCTGAGACAGCCGTGTGGGACAGCCTAGGCTTAGCTGATCCTGAGAGAGGCACCCGGGGCAGGGGGAGAGAAAAGGGGTAGAAGGGAACCTGAAGAGTCAGTGGCATCTGTGGAGAAGGGCAGGGAGGGGTCACTTGGACAGCAGGTACTACCTGGCCGTAGCTCCTGCAGTGGAGCCGCTTCTGACAGGACAACGGAAGGAGGGACAGGAGCTTTGGCAACACTGGGTAAATGGTTGCAGGGTTCAGGGACCGGCCTCGCATTCTCCCTGAATGGAAATGTGCTTCTGAGTCTCTGGGTGGAACCATCCACAGCAGCGGGCCCCATGTCCTCCCTTGGCCCCCAGAGACCCCAGCCCCCACCCACCTCCTACATCCCAGCAGAAAAGCCTGACAGCTACGGACACCCAAGAGCTCAGAGGGCAGGAGCCTTTCTCCCTAGAGTCCCTTAGGGCCCTCTGTTAACCCCTCGGTGCTCATCTGCACCGCAATCCCACACCCTTACCAGTGAGTAGACTGACAATCAGGCCCACCACAATCACTGTGGTGGAGTTGTGAGCACTGTACCATAAGTAAGACAAGGAATAGAACCGCTGCAGCCCTGTGGGCCTGGGAAGAGCAGAGGTGAGAACAATTAGCAATTCGTTGGCAGGGCATTCCTTGGGCACCAATCTCTACTTGCCCGCATGGTCCCAGGGTCTTGGGACCCAATACCCAACATTTCCCTGGGGCCTCTGGTGGCCCATCCCTTAGCAAGACCCCTGTGAAAGCCCTCAAAGGAGGGCTTTGAGAAAACAAGAAGATAGCAAGCCCTGCCTTACTTGGAGAAGGTAGTCAAGGGCATCAGTGTGGTCACAGTGGCAACGGTTAGATTGGTGGGCAGGGAGAAGCTGGACCCATTAGAGGGAGAGGGTGGCATGCTGGAGCCCATGCTGGTCACGATGCTCCCGATGCCAATCCAGAAGGCCATGACGAGCCCAGCCAACAGGCCCACAACAGCACCCTGCCGAGACACAGTGCAGGCCTGTCACAAGGCCAGTCCTGCCAGCCCTCACGGCAGTCCTCAGCTCTCCTGGTGACAGCCCTGCCAACCCCCAGGTCCATCCTGCTACACATGACTGTGGATCCAGATGCATCACTCACAGGAGGGTTAGCACATGGAAAGAACATTCCAAGGCAGAAGAGTCCCAGCAGCGGTCCCCCAACCATGCCAAAGATGCTGATTGCTGCCTAGGAGGACAGGGTGAGAAGAAAAGGAAAAAGAACACAGACTCAGAGATGCCCAGACTCACCATAAAGCATAGCCACCAGCCATGACCTTGGAGCCCCACTTGTCAGATCTGTCTCTTCTGTGGGAACAATCAGAACTCCAGAGGTGGCCGAGCGGTGGCTCATGCCTGTAATTCCAGCAGTTTGGGAGGCCGAGGCGGGAGGATCACCTGAGGTCAGGAGCTCCAGACTAGCCTGGCCAACATGGTAAAACCCCGTCTCTACTACAAATACAAAAATTAGCCAGACACGGTGGCACATGCCTGTAGTCCCTCAGCTACTTAGGAGGCTGAGACAGGAGAATCACTTGAATGTGGGAGGTGGAGGTTGCAGTCAACTGAGATCGCGCCACTGCACTCCAGCCTGAGCAACAGAATGAGACTCTGTCTCAAAAAAAAAAAAAAAAAAAAAAGAACTCCAGAGGGCAGGAAAGGCTGCTAGGGGGCTGATGGAGAGGGATGTGTTTTGAGTTCTCTGAGGCTGATCCTTAGCTCTCTCTCAGCCTACAACATCCCAGGAATGACCCTGCGTCCTCTGGCTGCTTGCAAGTCTGTTCACAGTAAAGACGGTCCATCAAAGGGGAATCTCTTACGCCTGCCCCCCGGTCATTCCCCTCAATATAGCTGCCCTTCTCAACTTCCTGTTTCAATCAATTCCTTCTCTCCCTTAAAATTGCTTCCTACCCTCTATAGTTATTACCTGCAGCACAGGTCCCATCTGGGAGGAAATATAGGCCATTCCTAGACAAAGCAGCCCATAGCCAAAGGCTGGGGGAAAAGGACAGGAGAGGAAACAAGAAGGTGTGAGTTAACACAAGCAATGGGGTAAAGCAAGGCTCCCTGCCCAGCCAAACTACCACCTCTGTCTCTCTGGAAACAAAAGGCATATTACATCACGCCCCAGCTTCCTCCCACCAAGTCCTCACTCCTATGTGACTCAGAGACCTCCCTAGGACATGCCCTGAGATGGAAACAACCATGCATGCAGGGAAGGTTGTGTGCTTCATTAGGCAAGTGCTGAGCCCCGGATAAAGTGGGTGTTTTACAGCAAACTGATGACAATGGTCAGGATGAAGCTTAGAAAGACCCAGACTGAAGAGATGAGGAAGCATAACCCCACCAAGGCCTCTGGAAAGCATGATGGCCCGGGCTTCAGAGAACTCAGGGAACCAAGGTCGAATCAGGTCTTCCATCGTAACAGTTGCCAATGAATTAAAAGCAGAGGATATAGTGCTGAAAAAGAGGAAGAGGATGAGGAGTTGAGCGAGGCAAAATTGTCAGCTCTATGGGACTCTATGGAGGAAATGGTGTCCTAAAGCGGGGAGATGACAGGTACCACCAAGAAACCTCCTCATAGTTGGACTTGATGCCACCTCAGAGCGGGCCTGGAAGGCAAGGACACAGTCCTTTTTTGAATGTGGATATGGGTTTCATTCGAGTAGATCAATTTCTGGTACCATAAAAGAACTCTTAACCAAAACAGGGGTATCTCTGTTGTGCTGTGGCCTACAAAGATGAGCTATCCCTTGTCATGCACACAGATGGGGCAGGCACAGTGAGAAACTTAGAGGGATTCCCCACCCACTATCACCCCGCTCCACCCATCACCTTGTACCAAATAGGGGTCAGGTGCACCAGGCCTGAGGGAAATCGTTAAAGTGGGTACCTGAGAGAGCCGCTGAAGAGGCAGGCAATGAAGAGCCCTGGCAGGCCTGGCAGGCCCTTCAGGAGATCCATCACAAAGTACAGGACGAACTGCAAGCAGAGCGGAGGTACACAGCAGTCCTCAGAGAGGGGTCTTCCCAGGGCCGGCTCTGCAGGGAAGCTCCCTTTACATGTGCCCCAGCGAGTCTACCGAGACTGGGTGCATTACAAGGGAAGCCAGGGCCTGGGGCACCTCTGCTGACCCAAGTGTCTACACATTAAGTGGAGAGAAAATGAGCTCTACAGAGGGAATGACACAATTCGCCCGCAGCTCTGTTTCTGGCTACTAGTGTGACTTCTGCTTACTGGCTACCTCATTGAGTCTGTTTTCTCCTCTGTGAAATGAGGCTGTTAGAGGCTTAGGTGAGACCAGGTATGTGATAGCTCCCAGCAGAGCACATGGAGCCCAATGGGGAGTCAGTAAGGGTAGGTCCTCACCCCAGTAGGATGAGCACTGTGGTTAGGTGATGCTAGGGACCGCGATCCTCACATGCTAGATTCCTAGCATCTCAGAGTGGGAAAGGATTTTACAACCGTCTCCCACCCAGGGTGGGAGTCCTTTCTGCAGTCAGTCCTTTCCTACCTAGACACTCCTGTTGTGGGGCCAGGCCTGCCCTCATGGGAACAGAACAGCGCCTTCTCACCTGGTCTGGGGCTGCCTGAGCCTGCTGAATGCTCATGGGATACTCCTGGTAATACGCGAACATGACCAGGCCAATGAGGCAGCCCACGCAGAGGGACACCTGCTGGAAGGGGAACACTGCATAACAGGAGCTGCAAAAGAGGTCAGTGCCAGGAGGAGAGCCGGCGTTAACAGACACCCTCAGGTGTGTGCCCCTGACCTCCAGAAAGGAGACCCACATCCTGACCACAGTGGATGTGTATGCACTCTGGCATCCTGCCCCACCCCAATTATCTCTGGGGAACCCCTTCCCCTAGACCTTGCTCCACTCCCTTCCTGTCCCTGCACTCACAGCACAGCAGCCTTCTCCGTGCGGGAACTGAGGTACCGCTGCACCTGAGCCTGGTTCACCCCGTATAAGGAGAGCATCATGAAGACACCCCCGAAGGCCAAGGTCCAGAAGGTGTGCCGCACAAAGGGGTCTGGATCCAGCCTGTAACAGACACCACCCAGTCATTGTGCAAAGCCTGAGAGACACAGCCTTCCTGCCCTCTTGGCAACAGGAGTCAGTGGACAGGAAAGGAGAGACACCACTGCTAGGGCCAAGGGGGACACTGAAAGCAAGAAGCTGGGTGCACTCGAGAGACAGCACAGCCAGTTAGAGGGAGGCTCCATTCTTCCACCCCAGGCTCATTCCAGGTACTCATCCCAGGTAATGTCCTGACTCTCTATAAACACTAGCCGGGCACCTGTAATCACCCTCCATCTCTGCAGGACCAGTTTCCCACTGTCTGCTGTTACACCTCAGGCTTCCCAGTTTACCTTCTGCTTACTATAGCCAAGACCAGCCTCTAGGATGGGCTCAGCGCCCAGGCACTGCAGACCCCAGCCAGGAGTAGGGGTATACTTACTCAAACCCAGAGATGCGGCCGTGCTGGGAAGCCACGGCCCACACACGCCCCAAGCCGCCCACCTTGGCTGACCCCACAATGATAACTGCCAGCTGCCCGAGGAACATGACCAGTGTCTGGAACACATCTGTCCAGATGACGGCCTTCAGCCCACCCTGCAAGGAAAGCACAGCAAACCTGCCACAGAGGCCTTCTAAACCCAGCTTGTCCAACCTGCCTTATTTTGTTGTTGCTCCATTTTGTTTTGTTTTGTTTTGTTTTAGGCTTTTTGCAGCCTGAAGCCAGTTTTTAGTTTCTGTCTCTGGTGATATGTATAAAAGAGGGATGACGAAGGGGCTTTACTGACCCAACCAGAAACAGAAACTAAGAACCCATGACTATATTCTCTCCCTTGGACACTCCTGAAACCATCCACCCTAAGAACATACTACCAGTGAGGGGACTCTCCTGCCATTAGGCATGTAATTGCTGTGACCCTGTTGACATCATTCCCATCCCATCCTCTACCTTCATATACCATCCCCACTGCTAAATCCTATCATAAATCTTACCACCCCAGAATTTCACCTATTCTCCTCATCTATATTCTCAGCTTATCTCTTCTTTTCCTTCTCTTCCCATGTCCCCTCCTTACTTCATCCCTTCCCCTCCCCACACCACGGCTTACTGCACTTACCAGAGCTGTATAGACGGTACAGACAATGCCCAGGGCCAGCACGGACAGCCACAGATCAAAGCCAGTCACTGTAAGCATAGAAGCCACATTCTTATCCCTGGAAAAGGGTTCCCCAGGGGAGAAGCCCTGGTAGGGCAATCACGTCATGCCACAGAGATAAAGCATTGGTCATTAACAATGAAATAAATCATTCACCACAACGGAGAAAAATGTTTGCAGAGCTCCACCAAAAGATATTGACTAACCAGTTCAGATAGGGCATGGTAACATGTTACTAGCTGTCAATTGAGGTGGACCAAGCCTTCCTCTGGTAGAGACCCACCCAAGGGCCCAAGCGGTGAATTAATTCCCCATTCAAGGTCAGGTTCTTTTCCACATACGCTCCTCCATCTGCCTCTCCCAAAGGTGCTTTCCTAACCTACCACGGCTGAAAGCCAGGGGCTGTGTGACTCCTCACCTGCATTGAGAGCCAATGACGGAGCATAGAGCACAACTCCCATGTAGATCACCTGTTGCATGTGGAAAAAATGTGATGGGGGCCGGAGAATGGTGGGAAGAGAGAGGAAGAAAGATGGGCCTCAGCGCCAATATGCCCATGGCTTCCCCTCACCTAGGCTCACTTCCCTCTTCCTTCTCCTCTCAAATTCTGGCTTGCTGCCACCACAGTATCTGTGCTGGAATTGGAAGGCATGGGCAGCAGGATGCCTCTGGGGTCCTCACAGATGCTAACCTCTAGCAGGAATTTCAATCCTGCCAATCTGAGAGCAGGGGAGACTCCAATTCCCTCAGCATGCTTGCGTTCAGGTCCCCCAACATGCCCTAGGCTCGGTTTCTATCCTCATTCTGCTTACCATCTGAAAGATGAAGGTCACAGTTCCACACACTCGCACAGTTTTATTGAATCGAAGCTCCAGGTACTGGGTATACAGAAAAAAAGATTTTTCTCCTGACTTCACCCCGACAACTCACAGACAAATTCCCTCAAGATGCTCAGGAACATGAGGGAATATCCAACCCATACCCACTCTGAGTCCTACTCGGCATAGCACCCTCCTCTCCAATCCTGCCCCTATACCTAACATCACTGAGAAAGAATTATAAACACACAATGAGTTTTCTGTCCCTCTCATTAGGTGGAGGAGGTCTAGGGTCCCAGGTCCTTCCTATGTGCCTGTCCCTCCTCTCCACCCCAACCCGTGTCCCACGCACTTCTCCCTTCTGTCCCTGCTCACCTCATAGGCACTGGTGAGATGCAGGCGGTAGAAAACGGGGATGAAGATGTGTGCAGGTATCAGCAGCCCCAGAAAGTAGCAGCAGCCCAGGAACCAATATTGGGTCCCAAATCGGTAGATCTCTGACGGCACACCCAGGATGGCCACGGCTGACTGGAAGGTGGCCAGCAGGGACAGTGCCACCGGAAGGCAGCCCATTTTGCGGTCCGCCATCAGCAGCTCACCAACAGTATGCCGGCCCCAGCCACGACAAGCATGGTAGAGCCCAATGGCAAGAGAGAGAACCAGCAGCAGGACGAACACCACATAGTCCAT
Organism: Homo sapiens; assembly: GCF_000001405.40. Lineage (NCBI taxonomy): Eukaryota > Metazoa > Chordata > Mammalia > Primates > Hominidae > Homo > Homo sapiens. Next base: position 27,207,573 of record NC_000002.12, read on the forward strand.
GATGGAGAAGGTAGACATGCCCACGCTTGTGCCCGAGGTTGGGGAAAGAGGGGCTGAGGTGCTCACCCCTACACTCATATCCTCACTGTGTCTGTGATCTGCAGCCAGTTGCTGCTCCAGGGCTCTGGGGTAGGGCAGGGGCGGATGTGTGGCTACAATCTGGCTTCCAGCCACAGTCTCACAGTCTTCCTCCACGGAGTGATACTGTCCAGGGTGAGCTGCAAAGGAATTAGCTCTTAGTGAGGCCTATCTGGCCTTGGTAGCCATTCACCCTTGGGCCTTGTACATCGCATGCCATCAGAAGTGGACCAGCCAGCATAGTGGTAGCCCTTCAAGGTCTAGAGGCCCTGGTATGGGTTTGGTAGGGGACATAAGTGAGGGAGAAGCATCAGAGTGCGACAGCCAGGAGACAATATAACTTGGCCAGGACCTTTGAGTATGCACAGCTGTGAAATTCAACAACCTTCTTAGGTCTCCACCCGAGTACCAAAAGAAAAATAAACTCTAGCCTAAGTTTCTTAGCAGAATTTCCCAGCCCCACTTGAAGGCACAGACCCAGTCACTACAATACACTAAGCCAGCAGAGCCCAGCCTGGCGCCACAGCCCAGCAGGAAACACAGCATGGAGACTAATGGCAGCAGGGCTTCCCCTACTGCCCCTGGCCTCGGCCCTCGCCTCCTGTGATCCCCAGTGTCACCCTTCTAACTGATCATCAGTGAGACTGCCTCTGTGGCAGCCACAGACTCCATTTCAGGCGTCCCCAGGCCAACCCCTTTCTTAAGGTTCTCCCCAACACCACTAGATAAGTGCTGCCACCCACCTCTCAGCCCCTCTACCTGCAACATCACAGTCAACAGCAGACGCAGGAAGAGCGGCTGGATTCAAAAGTGAGAGGGGAAAGGTGAGAGGGCACCATGCTGGAGTCAGGGTTTCAGAATGACGATTCTCCATTCTGGAGAGAAGCAACCCAGTCACGGAGCTGAGAGGCAAAGGGACCAGCCAAAGAGAGTGGTCGTATCCTGCTGGGGACAGACACCTACCTGGAGAAGCAATCCCTGTTCTGAGGCAGAGTTGCCTGGAGCTGCAGAGCTGAGGATCTGGCTCTATGAGTAGCTGAGGTGAGAGATCAGGAATTGGGGGTGGGGTGAAGCTCAGCAGTCATTTGTTCTGGCCCCTTCAGGGAACCAATGGCTGTGTTCCAAATGGCCCTATCACCCTATGGCCCCCAAACTCCAACTCAGCCCTAGAGGCTCCAGAACAGGGAAGAGGGAGCTCATATTCAACAGCATTCCTAGATGGATTAGCCTTTCAGCCTAAAGTACTCTTGGCACTCTGTGCGGGAGGGAGTTGGAAAGAAGGAACTGAAAACATGGGAAAGTTGAAAGTTGATTTTCTAACTCCTGCACAAGAAATGTTAATCCCCCAAGAATACACCACAATCCTCAGAGAAAGAGGGAAGGGATCATAATATTTAAAATCTTAAATCTTTGGACACCACTATTACAACCAACCCCCCACCACTGACGATTTCACAGATAAACACGCTAAGGCTCAGATGGTTCAAGTGACCTTTCCAAAAGCACAGAGCCGACTATTGTCAGAGCATAAATTAGAACCCAGGTCTAGGGATTCACCATCCACCCTGTCTGTTCTCCAAGCGTATCATATTGTCTTCAAAGGCAATCCTCTGGGGTACTTATTGGTATGAGGAAAAAACACCAGAGAATGCCATGTAGTTACACAGCCTAACATGACGACAGTTAACATTTGCTGAACACCTGCTATGTAACCCAGCAGTGTGTGAGGTGCTTTATAAACATTAGTAATAATACATAATGAAGCTAACATTTTCAAAACAGCATGTCTCAGATTAAGACACGAATACTCTCCAGTTAACACAAGAAAACTGAGAGATTAAATAACTTGCTCAAGGTTATGCAGCATGATACAAAACAAGAGAGAGAGAAACAGTGCTGTCTGCAGCTATGACAGGTGTTCAGCAAGGGCCCTGTCCTCACTATTCCCAGAACCAGGACAGGAGCAGAGTGTTGCAGTCAGTCATTCACAGGACATAGTTTAGATTTCAACTAATCAAGAGACAGACTAACATAAACTATGTCTTCTGCTTTTGCCCACTAGGAGAAAGATTAGGCTGCCTTTCCGCTCTCCCACAGTGTGTTCTTGGGCAGACACTGGCTGGCTGGCAAGATATGGCCTCATGCAGACTAAACCTGAACTCTGAACCTCTTGGGGCCAATAAAGAGGGAAAATCAGACCTGGCAACTCTTGGATCACATGTTCTACAAGATTCCCAACAGGCTTAAACTCTGGTTTAACCTAAACATGCCCTGGGCCTTTGCACATTGCAACACCCTGAGTTTTCTCATTCGTCTTTGGCAAGTTTTTACTGCTATGATAGAGATGATGGGAACTACTGGGGAGTAAGAGGAAAGAAGAGGTCTCCTGTGTGCAAAGAACACAGAACAAAGAACTAACTATAGGGTTAGTGGTTTAGAGAGGTAGGTGGCCAGAGACAGGAAGGAAAGTCCCAGTATGGGACACGGAGGTACAGAAATAAAGACACTCTGCTGATGGGACTTCCTGATAAAATTCTATTTGCATGATGTATGGAGAATTCCCCTGGATGGCCTGAGAGAGCCCCAGGGAAGACAGGAAAAACCTGACCTAGCAACAGACCAGATTCTGAGAACAGATCTGTAGTTTTCTAAACACCCTACATTGATCCAAACGCTATGGTCTCGCATCTCTCCAGAAAGAGGGCGGCCAAAAGCAAGAGCTAGCTGTTGTTTCACTACAACTATAACATGCCAAGGCACAAACAGCAGATTGTGGGACCCCCCCCCCTTTTTTTTTGGAGACGGAGTCTCGCTCTGTCGCCCAGGCTGGAGTGCAGTGACACGATCTCGGCTCACTGCAACCTCCACCTCCTGGGTTCAAGTGATTCTTCTGCCTCAGCCTCCTGAGTAGCTGGGACTACAGGCATGTGCTACCGCGCCCAGCTAATTTTTTTTTTTTTTTTTTGTATTTTTAGTAGAGACGAGATTTCACCATATTGGCCAGGCTGGTCTCAAAACTCCTGACATGACGATCCACCTGCCTTGGCGGATCGGTGGCCTGGCCACCGCGCCAGGCCAAGTTCAGGTTTTTAAAAGGGGTCCCACATCACTGCCTGTAATCCCAGCACTTTGGGAGGCCGAGGCGGGCAGATCACGAGGTCAGGAGATCGAGACCATCCTGGCTAACACGGTGAAACCCCGTCTCTACTAAAAAATACAAAAAATTAGCCAGGCGTGGTGGCAGGCGCCTGTAGTCCCAGCTACTCGGGAGGTTGAGGCAGGAGAATGGCGTGAACCCGCGAGGCGGAGCTTGCAGTGAGCCGAGATCGCGCCACTGCACTCCAGCCTGGGCGACAGAGCGAGACTCCGTCTCAAAATAAAAATAAAAATAAAAATAAAAACCTGAACTCACTTTGGTCACACACTGCAGTGGATCGCATTGACTCCTACAAAAGGCAATGAGACCACTGCAGGACTAACTGTTCCAAAAAGATTCCCTCAAAATCTGTCCTGGGGCCTATAATTCCTCAAGGTGTGAAAGGCTTTGGGGGCCCTCCTTAAAATGCTAATAGCTACTAACACCTTAGAAAATTTGCCAGCCAGCTAAACGTAAACCTTTCAGGAACTTCCAGGCAGACACCATGGGGGTAATGTGGAAGGGAAGCCTGGCTCGGCTACTCGAGATGATCACTTGGGTCGGCTTTAAGGAGCTTTCTGGCTGGCCCTAACCAACACTGTCGCGCCGGGAGCAGGGATCCCCTGGCGCCCTTCAGTCAGGGCGCTGGCCCACCCTGGGGCAGCAACGCACTCCCTTACCTCCGTGGTTCAGTCAGAGCTAGGAAGGTCCCTTTGTGCTTCCTGAGATCAACATCGCTCCCTTTTCCTGGGAAGGCAAAGAAAATGAGTTAGGGAAGCGTCTATCCCGCTCCTACCTCCTCGCCAGGCTCCGGGACGCTATGCGCTATCAGCATTGAGGTGAAGAGGACTAGGTGCCCGGGGCGATCCAGGCTCGTGTCCTCCCGCTGGAGTTTGAGGTTTGCCCTTCCCTCATCACCCTCACCCTCGTTCTTTCTCGGTTTCCCGCTTCCCTCTACGCGGCGGAGACCACCACCTTACCGCTCGCACTTAAGATCTCAGACCCACGCCGGAGGCCGGCTCGCTCCGCCCCTCCCCGCCCCCTTGTCCCCGCCCCGGCTCAGACGCCGCTCCCCGGTGCCTCTCGGCACCGGCTCACGCTCTCCAGGCCCACCTGCCCGGTCTCCACACGTGGGTAGCCAGAGCCCGGCCGAGAGCCCTGGCCGGGAGCCCGCGGGGGCCCCGCCCCCTGCCCGCCCCCTGCCCGCCCCGCTCGCCGTGCCGCCATGTTTACTGAGGGCGGATGGAGGGGCCCGAGTTTCTGCGAAGCCGCGACCTCGGCGTCCGGACGCGGGGAACACCGGGCTGAGGGAGTCTGCAGTCGGCTCCGGGAAGCCGCGCGGCGACGGGGGAGGCCTTCACTAAAGGGGAAAAGGAAGAGGGGGTCGGCCAGTATCCCCGAAAGAGGGCTAGGGCGCATGAAGACCAGCGCAGAGCTCCACGAGCAGGAAAAGCCCCCAAGCAGCCCCAGGGCGACTGGACCGGGCCGCTTAGGCCACGCCCGGGGAAGAGGGCCTGACGCGCTGCGGGGCGGGGCCGCGGGGCCGGGTCGCGCGAGCAGCGGAGCACCAAGGGAACGGAAAATGGCGCCTCACGACCCGGGTAGTCTTACGACCCTGGTGCCCTGGGCTGCCGCCCTGCTCCTCGCTCTGGGCGTGGAAAGGGCTCTGGCGCTACCCGAGGTACAGAAGCAAGTTTGAGGTCGGGCTGAAGCAGGGTCGCTGGCCAGCCGTGCGTCGCGCTCGCCAGCGGCTCCCCCTTCTCCTCGGCGGGCCTGCGGTTCTGATTTCGTCCCTGACGCTTCCCGACCCTGCCCAGCCAGGTCCTGTTCCCAAGTACTCACGTCGTGCAGGCCTTCGGCGCCCCAGTCCTGCCGACTTTCAAAGACCTGTGAAACTTGATTTCGCCCCTTAATTTTAGAATAACTTTAAGTTCTTTCTACAGACGGGTCCTCTGCCTCTTGTGTAATCTCTCTACGCACGAACGCCATATATCGTGCGGTGGTAGGGCTGTACTTTTGTAATGCTTGATGAGTTCTTTACGTACCTGCGGTCGTTTTACACCGCGCCAAACTAGGGCTGTCAGATTGAGAAGTCTCTGCAGAAAGCATAATAAATAAGTTCGAATAGTGATCTTCAGAGATGAGGACCTTCCCTGTGCGATATCTGGTACTGAAAGTGTCGGGAGCTGATTCGGCGCAGGACTCTGGAGGAAGAGATGGCATCTCCTAGCCTAGCCTGTTACAAGGGTGGGACACGAGCCGTTTATCCATTTATCGGCCCCGTGTTAGAGGAATTCTGGAAACGTGTACTGGCAGTTAATTCTTGATCGCCGTTTGTTCTTTTCTTGGCTTTTCTTTCTGGAGTTCTAATGTTTCTTTCTCTTCTGCAGATATGCACCCAATGTCCAGGGAGCGTGCAAAATTTGTCAAAAGTGGCCTTTTATTGTAAAACGACACGAGAGCTAATGCTGCATGCCCGTTGCTGCCTGAATCAGAAGGGCACCATCTTGGGGTGAGGGGAAGACATCCCTAGATGCTGGATACAGGCCATTCCTTAGCCTGGCTGCTTTTATACCCTTATATTATTTAAAGAATCCACCTATTATGGTTTCAGCTGTAATCATCACGCAGATGTCTACCAAAACTAGATCTCTTTAGTGTCTTTTTTAACCTTTCCACACTCCAGGTACATACGGGTACCTCTAGCTTCCTATTAAGCATTTCCTACTGAGTGCACCCTAACTTCAAACTCAAAATGTTATGTTTTGCTTCCATTCTCTTCTTTCCTTCATCTACCTAAATACTTCTCTGTATTAAGCTTTTAGAAAACCAACATTTTCCATTATCACTCTCTTGCTTTAATACTATATTTAGTATTAAATTTTGTCTCAGGACAAAATTCAAACCATTAAGTACCATACTAGTCCCAACCCACTTTTCCAACATTATTTCCAATTACTTGTCCGCTCAAACCTCCATAATGGTCTGCACCAGCCAGATTTGCCTGCCCTCAAAGGCATTCCACCTTTGTTCAGGCCTCTCTCCATACCTGAAATTGCCTTCCTCTACCAAATTAGGAAATATCCATCCTTCAATTCCAACATCTTTTGTGAATATTTACTACTACTAAGTTCCAGAGTAATACCTTTTTTAAATTATTATTTATTTATTTTTTTGAGACGGAGTTTCACTCTTGTTGCCCAGGCTGGAATGCAATGGCATGATCTCGGCTCACCGCGCCCTCCACCTCCTGGGTTCAAGCGATTCAGTAATACCTTTTTTAAAAACTTCCTGTAATCTTTAGTGTCCACTCAAATATATTTATACACTGTCCTGTGGTTTCTTTTATATTGTAATTTAATGTTTACAGTGCTTTTATTTTTGGGCAGTGCTCTTGTTCCTCTAACTACATTGTAAGCCACTCAAAGGCCAAAATACTGTGTTACATATTTTTAACATTCTCCCAGTGTTTGCAGTTTGTAGGGACTCAGTAAATATTTGTAGAATAAAGGAATGGATAGCAGTAGATATTGAAGAAAAAAATAACGTGGCATGATCCTTAATGTCCAGCAGTTTACAACCAATCTGTGGTAGAAAATACATGTGGAAAAAAACTTTGATTTATGTGACTTTTTTTTTTTAATTTAAAGGCCCTCTGTGGATCTGAAAATCATAATATGAGATTCACTAATGTAGACAAGAAACACAGATTTCTCCCAATAGATGCATAACCGATTAGAACAGTGCTGGCGGATAGAACTTTCTGTGATTATGAAAATGTTCCGAGCCAGGCGCGGTGGCTCATGCCTGTAATCCCAGCACTTTGGGAGGCCCAGATGGGCGGATCACGAGGTCAGGAGTTCAAGACCAGCCTGACCAACATGGTGAAACCCCGTCTCTACTAAAAATACAAAAATTAGCCAGGCGTGGTGGCATGTGCCTATAATCTCAGCTACTCAGGAGGCTGAGGCAGGAGAATTGCTTGAACCCGGGAGATGGAGGTTGCAGTGAGCCGAGATCGTGCCACTGCACTCCAGCTTGGGCAACAGAGTAAGACTGTCTCAAAAAAGGAAAATGTTCCGTATCTGTACTAACCAGTACAGTAGCTACTAACGTGGTTATTCCATTTGCACTTGAAATACGGCTAGTGCAAATGAGACACTGAATTTTTAGGTTAAATTAATTTTCTTCTATAGAGTCAGGGTCTCATTCATATTGCCCAGGCTGGTCTTGAATTCCTAGGTTCAAGTGATCCTCCCCCGCTTGGCCTCCTAAAGTGCTGGGATTACAGGAGTGAGTCACTACACCCAGCCTAAGGTACATTAATTTAAATTTAAGTAGTTACATGTGGCAAGTGGCGATTCTATTGGATAATGCAGAATTAAAATGTCTACCACAGCTCCTAGTGTGTGACTCTGAACACAGCTGTGTTCAATTATTAGCTGAAAAGGGGGTTGTGTAGTCAAATACAAACTGTGCCGTGGCTGAAGAAAAAGAGGAACACACAGTTATATTGATTACTTTATTTCCTCAGGCTGGATCTCCAGAACTGTTCTCTGGAGGACCCTGGTCCAAACTTTCATC